>NC_000011.10:52369018-52669018 GCF_000001405.40 Homo sapiens
TTTTCTTTCTTTTGTTTTGAGACGGAATGTCTCTCTGTTACCTAGGCTGGAGTACAGTGGTGCTATCCCAGCTCACTGCAACCTCTGCCTCCTGGGTTCAGGTGATTCTCCTGCCTCACCCTCCTGAGTAGATTACAGGCACGTGCCACCACGCCCAGCTAACTTTTTGTATTTTTAGTAGAGATGGGACCATGTTGGCCAGGGTGGTCTCAAACTTTTGACCTCAAGTAATCTGCCCACCTTGGCCTCCCAAAGTGCTGGGAAAACAGAAGAGCATTCTCAGAAACTGCTTTGTGATGTTTGTGTTCCACTTCAGGAATTGAACTTTCCTCTTGACAGAGCAGCTCTGAAACCCTCTTATTCTAGAATCTGCAAGTGGACATTTGGAGGGCTTTGAGGCCTGTGGTGGAAAAGGAAAATCTTCACATAAAAACTAGATGGAAGCATTCTCAGAAACTACTTTGTGATGATTGCATTCGACTCACAGAGTTGAACATTCCTATACATAGAGCAGGTTGTAAACAATCTTTTTGTAGAATCTGCGATTGGAGATTTGGACTGCTTTGAGGCCTACTGTAGTAAAGGAAATAACTTCATCTAAAAACCAAACGGAAGCATTCACAGACAATTCTTAGTGATCATTGGATTGAACTAACAGAGCTGAACATTCCTTTAGATGGAGCAGTTTCCAAACACACTTTCTGTAGAATCTGCAAGTGGATATTTGGACTTCTCTGAGGATTTCGTTGGAAACGGGATAAACTTCCCAGAACTACACGGAAGCATTCTGAGAAACTTCTTTGTGATGTTTGCATTCAACTCACAGAGTTGAACCTTGCTTTCATAGTTCAGCTTTCAAACACTCTTTTTGTAGAATCTGCAAGTGGATATTTGGACCACTTTGTGGCCTTCCTTCGAAACGGGTATATCTTCACATCAAACCTAGACAGAAGCATTCTCAGAATGTTTCCTGTGATGACTGCATTCAACTCACAGAGGTGAACAATCCTGCTGATGGAGCAGTTTTGAAACTCTCTTTCTTTGGATTCTGCAAGTGGATATGTGGACCTCTGTGAAGATTTCGTTGGAAACGGGTTCATCTTCACAGAAAAACTAAACAGAAGCATTCTCAGAAACTGCTTTGTGATGTTTGTGTTCCACTTCAAGAATTGAACTTTCCTCTTGACAGAGCAGCTCTGAAACCCTCTTTTTCTAGAATCTGCAAGTGGACATTTGGAGGGCTTTGAGGCCTGTGGTGGAAAACGAAAATCTTCACATAAAAACTAGATGGAAGCATTCTCAGAAACTACTTTGTGATGATTGCATTCGACTCACAGAGTTGAACATTCCTATAGATAGAGCAGGTTGTAAACAATCTTTTTGTAGAATCTGCGATTGGAGATTTGGACTGCTTTGAGGCCTACTGTAGTAAAGGAAATAACTTCATCTAAAAACCAAACGGAAGCATTCACAGACAATTCTTAGTGATCATTGGATTGAACAAACAGAGCTGAACATTCCTTTAGATGGCGCAGTTTCCAAACACACTTTCTGTAGAATCTGCAAGTGGATATTTGGACCTCTCTGAGGATTTCGTTGGAAACGGGATAAACTTCCCAGAACTAAACGGAAGCATTCTGAGAAACTTCTTTGTGATGTTTGCATTCAACTCACAGAGTTGAACCTTGCTTTCATAGTTCAGCTTTCAAACACTTTTTTGTAGAATCTGCAAGTGGATATTTGGACCACTTTGTGGCCTTCCTTCGAAACGGGTATATCTTCACATCAAACCTAGACAGAAGCATTCTCAGAATGTTTCCTGTGATGACTGCATTCAACTCACAGAGGTGAACAATCCTGTTGATGGAGCAGTTTTGAAACTCTCTTTCTTTGGATTCTGCAAGTGGATATGTGGACCTCTGTGAAGATTTCGTTGGAAACGGGTTCATCTTCACAGAAAAACTAAACAGAAGCATTCTCAGAAACTGCTTTGTGATGTTTTTGTTCCACTTCAGGGAATTGAACTTTCCTCTTGACAGAGCAGCTCTGAAACCCTCTTTTTCTAGAATCTGCAAGTGGACATTTGGAGGGCTTTGAGGCCTGTGGTGGAAAAGGAAAACCTTCACATAAAAACTAGATGGAAGCATTCTCAGAAACTACTTTGTGATGATTGCATTCGACTCACAGAGTTGAACATTCCTATAGATAGAGCAGGTTGTAAACAATCTTTTTGTAGAATCTGCGATTGGAGATTTGGACTGCTTTGAGGCCTACTGTAGTAAAGGAAATAACTTCATCTAAAAACCAAACGGAAGCATTCACAGACAATTCTTAGTGATCATTGCATTGAACTAACAGAGCTGAACATTCCTTTAGATGGCGCAGTTTCCAAACACACTTTCTGTAGAATCTGCAAGTGGATATTTGGACCTCTCTGAGGATTTCGTTGGAAACGGGATAAACTTCCCAGAACTACGCGGAAGCATTGTGAGAAACTTCTTTGTGATGTTTGCATTCAACTCACAGAGTTGAACCTTGCTTTCATAGTTCAGCTTTCAAACACTCTTTTTGTAGAATCTGCAAGTGGATATTTGGACCACTTTGTGGCCTTCCTTCGAAACGGGTATATCTTCACATCAAACCTAGACAGAAGCATTCTCAGAATGTTTCCTGTGATGACTGCATTCAACTCACAGAGGTGAACAATCCTGCTGATGGAGCAGTTTTGAAACTCTCTTTCTTTGGATTCTGCAAGTGGATATGTGGACCTCTGTGAAGATTTCGTTGGAAACGGGTTCATCTTCACAGAAAAACTAAACAGGAGCATTCTCAGAAACTGCTTTGTGATGTTTGTGTTCCACTTCAGGAATTGAACTTTCCTCTTGACAGAGCAGCTCTGAAACCCTCTTTTTCTAGAATCTGCAAGTGGACATTTGGAGGGCTTTGAGGCCTGTGGTGGAAAAGGAAAATCTTCACATAAAAATTAGATGGAAGCATTCTCAGAAACTACTTTGTGATGATTGCATTCGACTCACAGAGTTGAACATTCCTATAGATACAGCAGGTTGTAAACAATCTTTTTGTAGAATCTGCGATTGGAGATTTGGACTGCTTTGAGGCCTACTGTAGTAAAGTAAATAACTTCATCTAAAAACCAAACGGAAGCATTCACAGACCATTCTTAGTGATCATTGGATTGAACTAACAGAGCTGAACATTCCCTTAGATGGCGCAGTTTCCAAACACACTTTCTGTAGAATCTGCAAGTGGATATTTGGACCTCTCTGAGGATTTCGTTGGAAACGGGATAAACTTCCCAGAACTACACGGAAGCATTCTGAGAAACTTCTTTGTGAAGTTTGCATTCAACTCACAGAGTTGAACCTTGCTTTCATAGTTCAGCTTTCAAACTCTCTTTTTGTAGAATCTGCAAGTGGATATTTGAACCACTTTGTGGCCTTCCTTCGAAACGGGTATATCTTCACATCAAACCTAGACAGAAGCATTCTCAGAATGTTTCCTGTGATGACTGCATTCAACTCACAGAGGTGAACAATCCTGTTGATGGAGCAGTTTTGAAACTCTCTTTCTTTGGATTCTGCAAGTGGATATGTGGACCTCTGTGAAGATTTCGTTGGAAACGGGTTCATCTTCACAGAAAAACTAAACAGAAGCATTCTCAGAAACTGCTTTGTGATGTTTGTGTTCCACTTCAGGAATTGAACTTTCCTCTTGACAGAGCAGCTCTGAAACCCTCTTATTCTAGAATCTGCAAGTGGACATTTGGAGGGCTTTGAGGCCTGTGGTGGAAAAGGAAAATCTTCACATAAAAACTAGATGGAAGCATTCTCAGAAACTACTTTGTGATGATTGCATTCGACTCACAGAGTTGAACAGTCCTATAGATAGAGCAGGTTGTAAACAATCTTTTTGTAGAATCTGCGATTGGAGATTTGGACTGCTTTGAGGCCTACTGTAGTAAAGGAAATAACTTCATCTAAAAACCAAACGGAAGCATTCACAGACAATTCTTAGTGATCATTGGATTGAACTAACAGAGCTGAACATTCCTTTAGATGGAGCAGTTTCCAAACACACTTTCTGTAGAATCTGCAAGTGGATATTTGGACTTCTCTGAGGATTTCGTTGGAAACGGGATAAACTTCCCAGAACTACACGGAAGCATTGTGAGAAACTTCTTTGTGATGTTTGCATTCAACTCACAGAGTTGAACCTTGCTTTCATAGTTCAGCTTTCAAACACTCTTTTTGTAGAATCTGCAAGTGGATATTTCGACCACTTTATGGCCTTCCTTCGAAACGGGTATATCTTCACATCAAACCTAGACAGAAGCATTCTCAGAATGTTTCCTGTGATGACTGCATTCAACTCACAGAGGTGAACAATCCTGTTGATGGAGCAGTTTTGAAACTCTCTTTCTTTGGATTCTGCAAGTGGATATGTGGACCTCTGTGAAGATTTCGTTGGAAACGGGTTCATCTTCACAGAAAAACTAAACAGGAGCATTCTCAGAAACTGCTTTGTGATGTTTGTGTTCCACTTCAAGAATTGAACTTTCCTCTCGACAGAGCAGCTCTGAAACCCTCTTTTTCTAGAATCTGCAAGTGGACATTTGGAGGGCTTTGAGGCCTGTGGTGGAAAAGGAAAATCTTAACATAAAAACTAGATGGAAGCATTCTCAGAAACTACTTTGTGATGATTGCATTCGACTCACAGAGTTGAACATTCCTATAGATAGAGCAGGTTGTAAACAATCTTTTTGTAGAATCTGCGATTGGAGATTTGGACTGCTTTGAGGCCTACTGTAGTAAAGGAAATAACTTCATCTAAAAACCAAACGGAAGCATTCACAGACAATTCTTAGTGATCATTGGATTGAACTAACAGAGCTGAACATTCCTTTAGATGGAGCATTTTCCAAACACACTTTCTGTAGAATCTGCAAGTGGATATTTGGACCTCTCTGAGGATTTCGTTGGAAACGGGATAAACTTCCCAGAACTACACGGAAGTATTCTGAGAAACTTCTTTGTGATTTTTGCATTCAACTCACAGAGTTGAACCTTGCTTTCATAGTTCAGCTTTCAAACACTCTTTTTGTAGAATCTGCAAGTGGATATTTGGACCACTTTGTGGCCTTCCTTCGAAACGGGTATAACTTCACATCAAACCTAGACAGAAGCATTCTCAGAATGTTTCCTGTGATGACTGCATTCAACTCACAGAGGTGAACAATCCTGCTGATGGAGCAGTTTTGAAACTCTCTTTCTTTGGATTCTGCAAGTGGATATGTGGACCTCTGTGAAGATTTCGTTGGAAACGGGTTCATCTTCACAGAAAAACTAAACAGGAGCATTCTCAGAAACTGCTTTGTGATGTTTGTGTTCCACTTCAGGAATTGAACTTTCCTCTTGACAGAGCAGCTCTGAAACCCTCTTTTTCTAGAATCTGCAAGTGGACATTTGGAGGGCTTTGAGGCCTGTGGTGGAAAAGGAAAATCTTCACATAAAAAATAGATGGAAGCATTCTCAGAAACTACTTTGTGATGATTGCATTCGACTCACAGAGTTGAACATTCCTATAGATAGAGCAGGTTGTAAACAATCTTTTTGTAGAATCTGCGATTGGAGATTTGGACTGCTTTGAGGCCTACTGTAGTAAAGGAAATAACCTCATCTAAAAACCAAACGGAAGCATTCACAGACAATTCTTAGTGATCATTGCATTGAACTAACAGAGCTGAACATTCCTTTAGATGGCGCAGTTTCCAAACACACTTTCTGTAGAATCTGCAAGTGGATATTTCGACCTCTCTGAGGATTTCGTTGGAAACGGGATAAACTTCCCAGAACTACACGGAAGCATTGTGAGAAACTTCTTTGTGATGTTTGCATTCAACTCACAGAGTTGAACCTTGCTTTCATAGTTCAGCTTTCAAACACTCTTTTTGTAGAATCTGCAAGTGGATATTTGGACCACTTTGTGGCCTTCTTTCAAAACGGGTATATCTTCACATCAAACCTAGACAGAAGCATTCTCAGAATGTTTCCTGTGATGACTGCATTCAACTCACAGAGGTGAACAATCCTGCTGATGGAGCAGTTTTGAAACTCTCTTTCTTTGGATTCTACAAGTGGATATGTGGACCTCTGTGAAGATTTCGTTGGAAACGGGTTCATCTTCACAGAAAAACTAAACAGAAGCATTCTCAGAAACTGCTTTGTGATGTTTGTGTTCCACTTGAAGAATTGAACTTTCCTTTTGACAGAGCAGCTCTGAAATCCTCTTTTTCTAGAATCTGCAAGTGGACATTTGGAGGGCTTTGAGGCCTGTGGTGTAAAAGGAAAATCTTCCCATAAAAACTAGATGGAAGCATTCTCAGAAACTACTTTGTGATGATTGCATTCGACTCACAGGGTTGAACATTCCTATAGATAGAGCAGGATGTAAACAATCTTATTGTAGAATATGCGATTGGAGATTTGGACTGCTTTGAGGCCTACTGTAGTAAAGGAAATAACTTCATCTAAAAACCAAACGGAAGCATTCACAGACAATTCTTAGTGATCATTGGATTGAACTAACAGAGCTGAAAATTCCTTTAGATGGAGCAGTTTCCAAACACACTTTCTGTAGAATCTGCAAGTGGATATTTGGACTTCTCTGAGGATTTCGTTGGAAACGGGATAAACTTCCCAGAACTACAGGGAAGCATTCTGAGAAACTTCCTTGTGATGTTTTCATTCAACTCACAGAGTTGAACCTTGCTTTCATAGTTCAGCTTTCAAACACTCTTTTTGTAGAATCTGCAAGTGGATATTTGGACCACTTTGTGGCCTTCCTTCGAAACGGGTATATCTTCACATCAAACCTAGACAGAAGCATTCTCAGAATGTTTCCTGTGATGACTGCATTCAACTCACAGAGGTGAACAATCCTGCTGATGGAGCAGTTTTGAAACTCTCTTTCTTTGGATTCTGCAAGTGGATATGTGGACCTCTGTGAAGATTTCGTTGGAAACGGGTTCATCTTCACAGAAAAACTAAACAGGAGCATTCTCAGAAACTGCTTTGTGATGTTTGTGTTCCACTTCAAGAATTGAACTTTCCTCTTGACAGAGCAGCTCTGAAACCCTCTTTTTCTAGAATCTGCAAGTGGACATTTGGAGGGCTTTGAGGCCTGTGGTGGAAAAGGAAAATCTTCACATAAAAACTAGACGGAAGCATTCTCAGAAACTACTCTGTGATGATTGCATTCGACTCACAGAGTTGAACATTCCTATCGATAGAGCAGGTTGTAAACAATCTTTTTGTAGAATCTGCGATTGGAGATTTGGACTGCTTTGAGGCCTACTGTAGTAAAGGAAATAACTTCATCTAAAAACCAAACGGAAGCATTCACAGACAATTCTTAGTGATCATTGGATTGAACTAACAGAGCTGAACATTCCTTTAGATGGAGCAGTTTCCAAACACACTTTCTGTAGAATCTGCAAGTGGATATTTGGACTTCTCTGAGGATTTCGTTGGAAACGGGATAAACTTCCCAGAACTACACGGAAGCATTGTGAGAAACTTCTTTGTGATGTTTGCATTCAACTCACAGAGTTGAACCTTGCTTTCATAGTTCAGCTTTCAAACACTCTTTTTGTAGAATCTGCAAGTGGATATTTGGACCACTTTGTGGCCTTCCTTCGAAACGGGTATATCTTCACATCAAACCTAGACAGAAGCCTTCTCAGAATGTTTCCTGTGATGACTGCATTCAACTCACAGAGGTGAACAATCCTGCTGATGGAGCAGTTTTTAAACTCTCTTTCTTTGGATTCTGCAAGTGGATATGTGGACCTCTGTGAAGATTTCGTAGGAAACGGGTTCATCTTCACAGAAAAACTAAACAGAAGCATTCTCAGAAACTGCTTTGTGATATTTGTGTTCCACTTCAGGAATTGAACTTTCCTCTTGACAGAGCAGCTCTGAAACCCTCTTTTTCTAGAATCTGCAAGTGGACATTTGGAGGGCTTTGAGGCCTGTGGTGGAAATGGAAAATCTTCACATAAAAACTAGATGGAAGCATTCTCAGAAACTACTTTGTGATGATTGCATTCGACTCACAGAGTTGAACATTCCTATAGAGAGACCAGGTTGTAAACAATCTTTTTGTAGAATCTGCGATTAGAGATTTGGACAGCTTTGAGGCCTACTGTAGTAAAGGAAATAACTTCATCTAAAAACCAAACGGAAGCATTCACAGACAATTCTTAGTGATCATTGCATTGAACTAACAGAGCTGAACATTCCTTTAGATGGAGCAGTTTCCAAACCCACTTTCTGTAGAATCTGCAAGTGGATATTTGGACTTCTCTGAGGATTTCGTTGGAAACGGGATAAACTTCCCAGAACTACACGGAAGCATTGTGAGAAACTTCTTTGTGATGTTTGCATTCAACTCACAGAGTTGAACCTTGCTTTCATAGTTCAGCTTTCAAACACTCTTTTTGTAGAATCTGCAAGTGGATATTTGGACCACTTTGTGGCCTTCCTTCGAAACGGGTATATCTTCACATCAAACCTAGACAGAAGCATTCTCAGAATGTTTCCTGTGATGACTGCATTCAACTCACAGAGGTGAACAATCCTGCTGATGGAGCAGTTTTGAAACTCTCTTTCTTTGGATTCTGCAAGTGGATATGTGGACCTCTGTGAAGATTTCGTTGGAAACGGGTTCATCTTCACAGAAAAACTAAACAGGAGCATTCTCAGAAACTGCTTTGTGATGTTTGTGTTCCACTTCAGGAATTGAACTTTCCTCTCGACAGAGCAGCTCTGAAACCCTCTTTTTCTAGAATCTGCAAGTGGACATTTGGAGGGCTTTGAGGCCTGTGGTGGAAAAGGAAAATCTTCACATAAAAACTAGATGGAAGCATTCTCAGAAACTACTTTGTGATGATTGCATTCGACTCACAGAGTAGAACATTCCTATAGATAGAGCAGATTGTAAACAATCTTTTTGTAGAATCTGCGATTGGAGATTTGGACTGCTTTGAGGCCTACTGTAGTAACGGAAATAACTTCATCTAAAAACCAAACGGCAGCATTCACAGACAATTCTTAGTGATCATTGGATTGAACTAACAGAGGTGAACATTCCTTTAGATGGAGCATTTTCCAAACACACTTTCTGTAGAATCTGCAAGTGGATATTTGGACTTCTCTGAGGATTTCGTTGGAAACGGGATAAACTTCCCAGAACTACACGGAAGCATTCTGAGAAACATCTTTGTGATGTTTGCATTCAACTCACAGAGTTGAACCTTGCTTTCATAGTTCAGCTTTCAAACACTCTTTTTGTAGAATCTGCAAGTGGATATTTGGACGACTTTGTGGCCTTCCTTTGAAACGGGTATATCTTCACATCAAACCTAGACAGAAGCATTCTCAGAATGTTTCCTGTGATGACTGCATTCAACTCACAGAGGTGAACAATCCTGTTGATGGAGCAGTTTTGAAACTCTCTTTCTTTGGATTCTGCAAGTTGATATGTGGACCTCTGTGAAGATTTCGTTGGAAACGGGTTCATCTTCACAGAAAAACTAAACAGAAGCATTCTCAGAAACTGCTTTGTGATGTTTGTGTTCCACTTCAGGAATTGAACTTTCCTCTTGACAGAGCAGCTCTGAAACCCTCTTTTTCTAGAATCTGCAAGTGGACATTTGGAGGGCTTTGAGGCCTGTGGTGGAAAAGGAAAATCTTCACATAAAAACTAGATGGAAGCATTCTCAGAAACTACTTTGTGATGATTGCATTCGACTCACAGAGTTGAACATTCCTATAGATAGAGCAGGTTGTAAACAATCTTTTTGTAGAATCTGCGATTGGAGATTTGGACTGCTTTGAGGCCTACTGTAGTAAAGGAAATAACTTCATCTAAAAACCAAACGGAAGCATTCACAGACAATTCTTAGTGATTATTGGATTGAACTAACAGAGCTGAACATTCCTTTAAATGGAGCAGTTTCCAAACCCACTTTCTGTAGAATCTGCAAGTGGATATTTGGACTTCTCTGAGGATTTCGTTGGAAACGGGATAAACTTCCCAGAACTACACGGAAGCATTCTGAGAAACTTCTTTGTGATGTTTGCATTCAACTCACAGAGTTGAACCTTGCTTTCATAGTTCAGCTTTCAAACACTCTTTTTGTAGAATCTGCAAGTGGATATTTGGACCACTTTGTGGCCTTCCTTCGAAACGGGTATATCTTCACATCAAACCTAGACAGAAGCATTCTCAGAATGTTTCCTGTGATGACTGCATTCAACTCACAGAGGTGAACAATCCTGCTGATGGAGCACTTTTGAAACTCTCTTTCTTTGGATTCTGCAAGTGGATATGTGGACCTCTGTGAAGATTTCGTTGGAAACGGGTTCATCTTCACAGAAAAACTAAACAGAAGCATTCTCAGAAACTGCTTTGTGATGTTTGTGTTCCACTTCAAGAATTGAACTTTCCTCTTGACAGAGCAGCTCTGAAACCCTCTTTTTCTAGAATCCGCAAGTGGACATTTGGAGGGCTTTGAGGCCTGTGGTGGAAAAGGAAAATCTTCACATAAAAACTAGATGGAAGCATTCTCAGAAACTACTTTGTGATGATTGCATTCGACTCACAGAGTTGAACATTCCTATAGATAGAGCAGGTTGTAAACAATCTTTTTGTAGAATCTGCGATTGGAGATTTGGACTGCTTTGAGGCCTACTGTAGTAAAGGAAATAACTTCATCTAAAAACCAAACGGAAGCATTCACAGACAATTCTTAGTGATCATTGCATTGAACAAACAGAGCTGAACATTGCTTTAGATGGCGCAGTTTCCAAACCCACTTTCTGTAGAATCTGCAAGTGGATATTTGGACCTCTCTGAGGATTTCGTTGGAAACGGGATAAACTTCCCAGAACTACACGGAAGCATGCTGAGAAACTTCTTTGTGATGTTTGCATTCAACTCACAGAGTTGAACCTTGCTTTCATAGTTCAGCTTTCAAACACTCTTTTTGTAGAATCTGCAAGTGGATATTTGGACCACTTTGTGGCCTTCCTTCGAAACGGGTATATCTTCACATCAAACCTAGACAGAAGCATTCTCAGAATGTTTCCTGTGATGACTGCATTCAACTCACAGAGGTGAACAATCCTGTTGATGGAGCACTTTTGAAACTCTCTTTCTTTGGATTCTGCAAGTTGATATGTGGACCTCTGTGAAGATTTCGTTGGAAACGGGTTCATCTTCACAGAAAAACTAAACAGAAGCATTCTCAGAAACTGCTTTGTGATGTTTGTGTTCCACTTCAGGAATTGAACTTTCCTCTTGACAGAGCAGCTCTGAAACCCTCTTATTCTAGAATCTGCAAGTGGACATTTGGAGGGCTTTGAGGCCTGTGGTGGAAAAGGAAAATCTTCACATAAAAACTAGATGGAAGCATTCTCAGAAACTACTTTGTGATGATTGCATTCGACTCACAGAGTTGAACATTCCTATAGATAGAGCAGGTTGTAAACAATCTTTTTGTAGAATCTGCGATTGGAGATTTGGACTGCTTTGAGGCCTACTGTAGTAAAGGAAATAACTTCATCTAAAAACCAAACGGAAGCATTCACAGACAATTCTTAGTGATCATTGCATTGAACTAACAGAGCTGAACATTGCTTTAGATGGCGCAGTTTCCAAACACACTTTCTGAAGAATCTGCAAGTGGATATTTGGACCTCTCTGAGGATTTCGTTGGAAACGGGATAAACTTCCCAGAACTACACGGAAGCATTGTGAGAAACTTCTTTGTGATGTTTGCATTCAACTCACAGAGTTGAACCTTGCTTTCATAGTTCAGCTTTCAAACACTCTTTTTGTAGAATCTGCAAGTGGATATTTGGACCACTTTGTGGCCTTCCTTCGAAACGGGTATATCTTCACATCAAACCTAGACAGAAGCATTCTCAGAATGTTTCCTGTGATGACTGCATTCAACTCACAGAGGTGAACAATCCTGCTGATGGAGCAGTTTTGAAACTCTCTTTCTTTGGATTCTGCAAGTGGATATGTGGACCTCTGTGAAGATTTCGTTGGAAACGGGTTCATCTTCACAGAAAAACTAAACAGGAGCATTCTCAGAAACTGCTTTGTGATGTTTGTGTTCCACTTCAGGAATTGAACTTTCCTCTTGACAGAGCAGCTCTGAAACCCTCTTATTCTAGAATCTGCAAGTGGACATTTGGAGGGCTTTGAGGCCTGTGGTGGAAAAGGAAACTCTTCACATAAAAACTAGATGGAAGCATTCTCAGAAACTACTTTGTGATGATTGCATTCGACTCACAGAGTTGAACATTCCTATAGATAGAGCAGGTTGTAAACAATCTTTTTGTAGAATCTGCGATTGGAGATTTGGACTGCTTTGAGGCCTACTGTAGTAAAGGAAATAACTTCATCTAAAAACCAAACGGAAGCATTCACAGACAATTCTTAGTGATCATTGCATTGAACTAACAGAGCTGAACATTGCTTTAGATGGCGCAGTTTCCAAACACACTTTCTGTAGAATCTGCAAGTGGATATTTGGACCTCTCTGAGGATTTCGTTGGAAACGGGATAAACTTCCCAGAACTACACGGAAGCATTCTGAGAAACTTCTTTGTGATGTTTGCATTCAACTCACAGAGTTGAACCTTGCTTTCATAGTTCAGCTTTCAAACACTCTTTTTGTAGAATCTGCAAGTGGATATTTGGACCACTTTGTGGCCTTCCTTCGAAACGGGTATATCTTCACATCAAACCTATTCAGAAGCATTCCCAGAATGTTTCCTGTGATGACTGCATTCAACTCACAGAGGCGAACAATCCTGTTGATGGAGCAGTTTTGAAACTCTCTTTCTTTGGATTCTGCAAGTGGATATGTGGACCTCTGTGAAGATTTCGTTGGAAACGGGTTCATCTTCACAGAAAAACTAAACAGGAGCATTCTCAGAAACTGCTTTGTGATGTTTGTGTTCCACTTCAAGAATTGAACTTTCCTCTTGACAGAGCAGCTCTGAAACCCTCTTTTTCTAGAATCTGCAAGTGGACATTTGGAGGGCTTTGAGGCCTGTGGTGGAAAAGGAAAATCTTCACATAAAAACTAGATGGAAGCATTCTCAGAAACTACTTTGTGATGATTGCATTCGACTCACAGAGTTGAACATTCCTATAGATAGAGCAGGTTGTAAACAATCTTTTTGTAGAATCTGCGATTGGAGATTTGGACTGCTTTGAGGCCTACTGTAGTAAAGGAAATAACTTCATCTAAAAACCAAACGGAAGCATTCACAGACAATTCTTAGTGATCATTGGATTGAACTAACAGAGCTGAACATTCCTTTAGATGGAGCAGTTTCCAAACACACTTTCTGTAGAATCTGCAAGTGGATATTTGGACCTCTCTGAGGATTTCGTTGGAAACGGGATAAACTTCCCAGAACTACACGGAAGCATTGTGAGAAACTTCTTTGTGATGTTTGCATTCAACTCACAGAGTTGAACCTTGCTTTCATAGTTCAGCTTTCAAACACTCTTTTTGTAGAAACTGCAAGTGGATATTTGGACCACTTTGTGGCCTTCCTTCGAAACGGGTATATCTTCACATCAAACCTAGACAGAAGCATTCTCAGAATGTTTCCTGTGATGACTGCATTCAACTCACAGAGGTGAACAATCCTGCTGATGGAGCAGTTTTGAAACTCTCTTTCTTTGGATTCTGCAAGTGGATATGTGGACCTCTGTGAAGATTTCGTTGGAAACGGGTTCATCTTCACAGAAAAACTAAACAGAAGCATTCTCAGAAACTGCTTTGTGATGTTTGTGTTCCACTTCAAGAATTGAACTTTCCTCTTGACAGAGCAGCTCTGAAACCCTCTTATTCTAGAATCTGCAAGTGGACATTTGGAGGGCTTTGAGGCCTGTGGTGGAAAAGGAAAATCTTCACTTAAAAACTAGATGGAAGCATTCTCAGAAACTACTTTGTGATGATTGCATTCGACTCACAGAGTTGAACATTCCTATAGATAGAGCAGGTTGTAAACAATCTTTTTGTAGAATCTGCGATTGGAGATTTGGACTGCTTTGAGGCCTACTGTAGTAAAGGAAATAACTTCATCTAAAAACCAAACGGAAGCATTCACAGACAATTCTTAGTGATCATTGGATTGAACTAACAGAGCTGAACATTCCTTTAGATGGAGCAGTTTCCAAACACACTTTCTGTAGAATCTGCAAGTGGATATTTGGACTTCTCTGAGGATTTCGTTGGAAACGGGATAAACTTCCCAGAACTACACGGAAGCATTCTGAGAAACTTCTTTGTGATGTTTGCATTCAACTCACAGAGTTGAACCTTGCTTTCATAGTTCAGCTTTCAAACACTCTTTTTGTAGAATCTGCAAGTGGATATTTGGACCACTTTCTGGCCTTCCTTCGAAACGGGTATATCTTCACATCAAACCTAGACAGAAGCATTCTCAGAATGTTTCCTGTGATGACTGCATTCAACTCACAGAGGTGAACAATCCTGCTGATGGAGCAGTTTTGAAACTCTCTTTCTTTGGATTCTGCAAGTGGATATGTGGACCTCTGTGAAGATTTCGTTGGAAACGGGTTCATCTTCACAGAAAAACTAAACAGGAGCATTCTCAGAAACTGCTTTGTGATCTTTGTGTTCCACTTCAAGAATTGAACTTTCCTCTTGACAGAGCAGCTATGAAACCCTCTTTTTCTAGAATCTGCAAGTGGACATTTGGAGGGCTTTGAGGCCTGTGGTGGAAAAGGAAAATCTTCACATAAAAACTAGATGGAAGCATTCTCAGAAACTACTTTGTGATGATTGCATTCGACTCACAGAGTTGAACATTCCTATAGATAGAGCAGGTTGTAAACAATCTTTTTGTAGAATCTGCGATTGGAGATTTGGACTGCTTTGAGGCCTACTGTAGTAAAGGAAATAACTTCATCTAAAAACCAAACGGAAGCATTCACAGACAATTCTTAGTGATCATTGCATTGAACTAACAGAGCTGAACATTCCTTTAGATGGCGCAGTTTCCAAACACACTTTCTGTAGAATCTGCAAGTGGATATTTGGACTTCTCTGAGGATTTCGTTGGAAACGGGATAAACTTCCCAGAACTACACGGAAGCATTCTGAGAAACTTCTTTGTGATGTTTGCATTCAACTCACAGAGTTGAACCTTGCTTTCATAGTTCAGCTTTCAAACACTCTTTTTGTAGAATCTGCAAGTGGATATTTGGACCACTTTGTGGCCTTCCTTCGAAACGGGTATATCTTCACATCAAACCTAGACAGAAGCATTCTCAGAATGTTTCCTGTGATGACTGCATTCAACTCACAGAGGTGAACAATCCTGTTGATGGAGTAGTTTTGAAACTCTCTTTCTTTGGATTCTGCAAGTTGATATGTGGACCTCTGTGAAGATTTCGTTGGAAACGGGTTCATCTTCACAGAAAAACTAAACAGGAGCATTCTCAGAAACTGCTTTGTGATGTTTGTGTTCCACTTCAAGAATTGAACTTTCCTCTTGACAGAGCAGCTCTGAAACCCTCTTTTTCTAGAATCTGCAAGTGGACATTTGGAGGGCTTTGAGGCCTGTGGTGGAAAAGGAAAATCTTCACATAAAAACTAGATGGAAGCATTCTCAGAAACTACTTTGTGATGATTGCATTCGACTCACAGAGTTGAACATTCCTATAGATAGAGCAGGTTGTAAACAATCTTTTTGTAGAGTCTGCGATTGGAGATTTGGACTGCTTTGAGGCCTACTGTAGTAAAGGAAATAACTTCATCTAAAAACCAAACGGAAGCATTCACAGACAATTCTTAGTGATCATTGGATTGAACAAACAGAGCTGAACATTCCTTTAGATGGCGCAGTTTCCAAACACACTTTCTGTAGAATCTGCAAGTGGATATTTGGAGCTCTCTGAGGATTTCGTTGGAAACGGGATAAACTTCCCAGAACTACACGGAAGCATTGTGAGAAACTTCTTTGTGATGTTTGCATTCAACTCACAGAGTTGAACCTTGCTTTCATAGTTCAGCTTTCAAACACTCTTTTTGTAGAATCTGCAAGTGGATATTTGGACCACTTTGTGGCCTTCCTTCGAAACGGGTATATCTTCACATCAAACCTAGACAGAAGCATTCTCAGAATGTTTCCTGTGATGACTGCATTCAACTCACAGAGGTGAACAATCCTGCTGATGGAGCAGTTTTGAAACTCTCTTTCTTTGGATTCTGCAAGTGGATATGTGGACCTCTGTGAAGAATTCGTTGGAAACGGGTTCATCTTCACAGAAAAACTAAACAGGAGCATTCTCAGAAACTGCTTTGTGATGTTTGTGTTCCACTTAAAGAATTGAACTTTCCTCTTGACAGAGCAGCTCTGAAACCCTCTTTTTCTAGAATCTGCAAGTGGACATTTGGAGGGCTTTGAGGCCTGTGGTGGAAAAGGAAAATCTTCACATAAAAACTTTATGGAAGCATTCTCAGAAACTACTTTGTGATGATTGCATTCGACTCACAGAGTTGAACATTCCTATACATAGAGCAGGTTGTAAACAATCTTTTTGTAGAATCTGCGATTGGAGATTTGGACTGCTTTGAGGCCTACTGTAGTAAAGGAAATAACTTCATCTAAAAACCAAACGGAAGCATTCACAGACAATTCTTAGTGATCATTGCATTGAACTAACAGAGCTGAACATTCCTTTAGATGGCGCAGTTTCCAAACACACTTTCTGTAGAATCTGCAAGTGGATATTTGGACCTCTCTGAGGATTTCGTTGGAAACGGGATAAACTTCCCAGAACTACACGGAAGTATTCTGAGAAACTTCTTAGTGATGTTTGCATTCAACTCACAGAGTTGAACCTTGCTTTCATAGTTCAGCTTTCAAACACTCTTTTTGTAGAATCTGCAAGTTGATATTTGGACCACTTTGTGGCCTTCCTTCGAAACGGGTATATCTTCACATCAAACCTAGACAGAAGCATTCTCAGAATGTTTTCTGTGATGACTGCATTCAACTCACAGAGGTGAACAATCCTGCTGATGGAGCAGTTTTGAAACTCTCTTTCTTTGGATTCTGCAAGTGGATATGTGGACCTCTGTGAAGATTTCGTTGGAAACGGGTTCATCTTCACAGAAAAACTAAACAGGAGCATTCTCAGAAACTGCTTTGTGATGTTTGTGTTCCACTTCAGGAATTGAACTTTCCTGTTGACAGAGCAGCTCTGAAACCCTCTTTTTCTAGAATCTGCAAGTGGACATTTGGAGGGCTTTGAGGCCTGTGGTGGAAAAGGAAAATCTTCACATAAAAACTAGATGGAAGAATTCTCACAAACTACTTTGTGATGATTGCATTCGACTCACAGAGTTGAACATTCCTATATATAGAGCAGGTTGTAAACAATCTTTTTGTAGAATCTGCGATTGGAGATTTGGACTGCTTTGAGGCCTACTGTAGTAAAGGGAATAACTTCATCTAAAAACCAAACGGAAGCATTCACAGACAATTCTTAGTGATTATTGGATTGAACTAACAGAGCTGAACATTCCTTTAGATGGCACAGTTTCCAAACACACTTTCTGTAGAATCTGCAAGTGGATATTTGGACCTCTCTGAGGATTTCGTTGGAAACGGGATAAACTTCCCAGAACTACACGGAAGCATTCTGAGAAACTTCTTTGTGATGTTTGCATTCAACTCACAGAGTTGAACCTTGCTTTCATAGTTCAGCTTTCAAACCCTCTTTTTGTAGAATCTGCAAGTGGATATTTGGACCACTTTGTGGCCTTCCTTCGAAACGGGTATATCTTCACATCAAACCTAGACAGAAGCATTCTCAGAATGTTTCCTGTGATGACTGCATTCAACTCACAGAGGTGAACAATCCTGCTGATGGAGCAGTTTTGAAACTCTCTTTCTTTGGATTCTGCAAGTGGATATGTGGACCTCTGTGAAGATTTCGTTGGAAACGGGTTCATCTTCACAGAAAAACTAAACAGGAGCATTCTCAGAAACTGCTTTGTGATGTTTGTGTTCCACTTCAAGAATTGAACTTTCCTCTTGACAGAGCAGCTCTGAAACCCTCTTTTTCTAGAATCTGCAAGTGGACATTTGGAGGGCTTTGAGGCCTGTGGTGGAAAAGGAAAATCTTCACATAAAAACTAGATGGAAGCATTCTCAGAAACTACTTTGTGATGATTGCATTCGACTCACAGAGTTGAACATTCCTATAGATAGAGCAGGTTGTAAACAATCTTTTTGTAGAATCTGCGATTGGAGATTTGGACTGCTTTGAAGCCTACTGTAGTAAAGGAAATAACTTCATCTAAAAACCAAACGGAAGCATTCACAGACAATTCTTAGTGATCATTGCATTGAACTAACAGAGCTGAACATTCCTTTAGATGGCGCAGTTTCCAAACACACTTTCTGTAGAATCTGCAAGTGGATATTTGGACCTCTCTGAGGATTTCGTTGGAAACGGGATAAACTTCCCAGAACTACACGGAAGCATTCTGAGAAACTTCTTTGTGATGTTTGCATTCAACTCACAGAGTTGAACCTTGCTTTCATAGTTCAGCTTTCAAACACTCTTTTTGTAGAATCTGCAAGTGGATATTTGGACCACTTTCTGGCCTTCCTTCGAAACGGGTATATCTTCACATCAAACCTAGACAGAAGCATTCTCAGAATGTTTCCTGTGATGACTGCATTCAACTCACAGAGGTGAACAATCCTGCTGATGGAGCAGTTTTGAAACTCTCTTTCTTTGGATTCTGCAAGTGGATATGTGGACCTCTGTGAAGATTTCGTTGGAAACGGGTTCATCTTCACAGAAAAACTAAACAGGAGCATTCTCAGAAACTGCTTTGTGATGTTTGTGTTCCACTTCAAGAATTGAACTTTCCTCTTGACAGAGCAGCTCTGAAACCCTCTTTTTCTAGAATCTGCAAGTGGACATTTGGAGGGCTTTGAGGCCTGTGGTGGAAAAGGAAAATCTTCACATAAAAACTAGATGGAAGCATTCTCAGAAACTACTTTGTGATGATTGCATTCGACTCACAGAGTTGAACATTCCTATAGATAGAGCAGGTTGTAAACAATCTTTTTGTAGAATCTGCGATTGGAGATTTGGAGTGCTTTGAGGCCTACTGTAGTAAAGGAAATAACTTCATCTAAAAACCAAACGGAAGCATTCACAGACAATTCTTAGTGATCATTGGATTGAACTAACAGAGCTGAACATTCCTTTAGATGGCGCAGTTTCCAAACACACTTTCTGTAGAATCTGCCACTGGATATTTGGACCTCTCTGAGGATTTCGTTGGAAACGGTCTAAACTTCCCAGAACTACACGGAAGCATTCTGAGAAACTTCTTTGTGATGTTTGCATTCAACTCACAG
Source organism: Homo sapiens (assembly GCF_000001405.40). Taxonomy (NCBI): domain Eukaryota; kingdom Metazoa; phylum Chordata; class Mammalia; order Primates; family Hominidae; genus Homo; species Homo sapiens. The sequence goes on from NC_000011.10 coordinate 52,388,545, forward strand.
AGTTGAACCTTGCTTTCATAGTTCAGCTTTCAAACACTCTTTTTGTAGAATCTGCAAGTGGATATTTGGACCAATTTTTGGCCTTCCTTCCAAACGGGTATATCTTCACATCAAACCTAGACAGAAGCATTCTCAGAATGTTTCCTGTGATGACTGCATTCAACTCACAGAGGTGAACAATCCTGCTGATGGAGCAGTTTTGGAACTCTCTTTCTTTGGATTCTGCAAGTGGATATGTGGACCTCTGTGAAGATTTCGTTGGAAACGGGTTCATCTTCACAGAAAAACTAAACAGAAGCATTCTCAGAAACTGCTTTGTGATGTTTGTGTTCCACTTCAAGAATTGAACTTTCCTCTTGACAGAGCAGCTCTGAAACCCTCTTATTCTAGAATCTGCAAGTGGACATTTGGAGGGCTTTGAGGCCTGTGGTGGAAAAGGAGAATCTTCACATAAAAACTAGATGGAAGCATTCTCAGAAACTACTTTGTGATGATTGCATTCGACTCACAGAGTTGAACATTCCTATAGATAGAGCAGGTTGTAAACAATCTTTTTCTAGAATCTGCGATTGGAGATTTGGACTGCTTTGAGGCCTACTGTAGTAAAGGAAATAACTTCATCTAAAAACCAAACGGAAGCATTCACAGACAATTCTTAGTGATCATTGCATTGAACTAACAGAGCTGAACATTCCTTTAGATGGCGCAGTTTCCAAACACACTTTCTGTAGAATCTGCAAGTGGATATTTGGACCTCTCTGAGGATTTCGTTGGAAACGGGATAAACTTCCCAGAACTACACGGAAGCATTGTGAGAAACTTCTTTGTGATGTTTGCATTCAACTCACAGAGTTGAACCTTGCTTTCATAGTTCAGCTTTCAAACACTCTTTTTGTAGAATCTGCAAGTGGATATTTGGACCACTTTGTGGCCTTCCTTTGAAAAGGGTATATCTTCACATCAAACCTAGACAGAAGCATTCTCAGAATGTTTCCTGTGATGACTGCATTCAACTCACAGAGGTGAACAATCCTGCTGTTGGAGCAGTTTTGAAACTCTCTTTCTTTGGATTCTGCAAGTGGATATGTGGACCTCTGTGAAGATTTCGTTGGAAACGGGTTCATCTTCACAGAAAAACTAAACAGGAGCATTCTCAGAAACTGCTTTGTGATGTTTGTGTTCCACTTCAAGAATTGAACTTTCCTCTTGACAGAGCAGCTCTGAAACCCTCTTTTTCTAGAATCTGCAAGTGGACATTTGGAGGGCTTTGAGGCCTGTGGTGGAAAAGGAAAATCTTCACATAAAAACTTGATGGAAGCATTCTCAGAAACTACTTTGTGATGATTGCATTCGACTCACAGAGTTGAACATTCCTATAGATAGAGCAGGTTGTAAACAATCTTTTTGTAGAATCTGCGATTGGAGATTTGGACTGCTTTGAGGCCTACTGTAGTAAAGGAAATAACTTCATCTAAAAACCAAACGGAAGCATTCACAGACAATTCTTAGTGATCATTGGATTGAACTAACAGAGCTGAACATTCCTTTAGATGGAGCAGTTTTCAAACACACTTTCTGTAGAATCTGCAAGTGGATATTTGGACCTCTCTGAGGATTTCGTTGGAAACGGGATAAACTTCCCAGAACTACACGGAAGCATTCTGAGAAACTTCTTTGTGATGTTTGCATTCAACTCACAGGGTTGAACCTTGCTTTCATAGTTCAGCTTTCAAACACTCTTTTTGTAGAATCTGCAAGTGGATATTTGGACCACTTTGTGGCCTTCCTTCGAAACGGGTATATCTTCACATCAAACCTAGACAGAAGCATTCTCAGAATGTTTCCTGTGATGACTGCATTCAACTCACAGAGGTGAACAATCCTGCTGATGGAGCAGTTTTGAAACTCTCTTTCTTTGGATTCTGCAAGTGGATTTGTGGACCTCTGTGAAGATTTCGTTGGAAACGGGTTCATCTTCACAGAAAAACTAAACAGGAGCATTCTCAGAAACTGCTTTGTGATGTTTGTGTTCCACTTCAAGAATTGAACTTTCCTCTTGACAGAGCAGCTCTGAAACCCTCTTTTTCTAGAATCTGCAAGTGGACATTTGGAGGGCTTTGAGGCCTGTGGTGGAAAAGGAAAATCTTCACATAAAAACTAGATGGAAGCATTCTCCGAAACTACTTTGTGATGATTGCATTCGACTCACAGAGTTGAACATTCCTATAGATAGAGCAGGTTGTAAACAATCTTTTTGTAGAATCTGAGATTGGAGATTTGGACTGCTTTGAGGCCTACTGTAGTAAAGGAAATAACTTCATCTAAAAACCAAACGGAAGCATTCACAGACAATTCCTAGTGATCATTGCATTGAACTAACAGAGCTGAACATTCCTTTAGATGGCGCAGTTTCCAAACACACTTTCTGTAGAATCTGCAAGTGGATATTTGGACCTCTCTGATGATTTCGTTGGAAACGGGATAAACTTCCCAGAACTACACGGAAGCATTCTGAGAAACTTCTTTGTGATGTTTGCATTCAACTCACAGAGTTGAACCTTGCTTTCATAGTTCAGCTTTCAAACACTCTTTTTGTAGAATCTGCAAGTGGATATTTGGACCACTTTGTGGCCTTCCTTCGAAACGGGTATATCTTCACATCAAACCTAGACAGAAGCATTCTCAGAATGTTTCCTGTGATGACTGCATTCAACTCACAGAGGTGAACAATCCTGCTGATGGAGCAGTTTTGAAACTCTCTTTCTTTGGATTCTGCAAGTGGATATGTGGACCTCTGTGAAGATTTCGTTGGAAACGGGTTCATCTTCACAGAAAAACTAAACAGGAGCATTCTCAGAAACTGCTTTGTGATGTTTGTGTTCCACTTCAGGAATTGAACTTTCCTCTTGACAGAGCAGCTCTGAAAACCTCTTTTTCTAAAATCTGCAAGTGGACATTTGGAGGGCTTTGAGGCCTGTGGTGGAAAAGGAAAATCTTCACATAAAAACTAGATGGAAGCATTCTCAGAAACTACTTTGTGATGATTGCATTCGACTCACAGAGTTGAACATTCCTATAGATAGAGCAGGTTGTAAACAATCTTTCTGTAGAATCTGCGATTGGAGATTTGGACTGCTTTGAGGCCTACTGTAGTAAAGGAAATAACTTCATCTAAAAACCAAACGGAAGCATTCACAGACAATTCTTAGTGATCATTGGATTGAACCAACAGAGCTGAACATTCCTTTAGATGGCGCAGTTTCCAAACACACTTTCTGTAGAATCTGCAGCTGGATATTTGGACCTCTCTGAGGATTTCGTTGGAAACAGGATAAACTTCCCAGAACTACACGGAAGCATTCTGAGAAACTTCTTTGTGATGTTTGCATTCAACTCACAGAGTTGAACCTTGCTTTGATAGTTCAGCTTTCAAACACTCTTTTTGTAGAATCTGCAAGTGGATATTTGGACCACTTTGTGGCCTTCCTTCGAAACGGGTATATCTTCACATCAAACCTAGACAGAAGCATTCTCAGAATGTTTCCTGTGATGACTGCATTCAACTCACAGAGGTGAACAATCCTGCTGATGGAGCAGTTTTGAAACTCTCCATCTTTGGATTCTGCAAGTGGATATGTGGACCTCTGTGAAGATTTCGTTGGAAACGGGTTCATCTTCACAGAAAAACTAAACAGAAGCATTCTCAGAAACTGCTTTGTGATGTTTGTGTTCCACTTCAGGAATTCAACTTTCCTCTTGACAGAGCAGCTCTGAAACCCTCTTATTCTAGAATCTGCAAGTGGACATTTGGAGGGCTTTGAGGCCTGTGGTGGAAAAGGAAAATCTTCACTTAAAAACTAGATGGAAGCATTCTCAGAAACTACTTTGTGATGATTGCATTCGACTCACAGAGTTGAACATTCCTATAGATAGAGCAGGTTGTAAACAATCTTTTTGTAGAATCTGCGATTGGAGATTTGGACTGCTTTGAGGCCTACTGTAGTAAAGGAAATAACTTCATCTAAAAACCAAACGGAAGCATTCACAGAAAATTCTTAGTGATCATTGGATTGAACTAACAGAGTTGAACATTCCTTTAGATGGAGCAGATTCCAAACACACTTTCTGTAGAATCTGCAACTGGATATTTGGACCTCTCTGAGGATTTCGTTGGAAACGGGATAAACTTCCCAGAACTACACGGAAGCATTCTGAGAAACTTCTTTGTGATATTTGCATTCAACGCACAGAGTTGAACCTTGCTTTCATAGTTCAGCTTTCAAACACTCTTTTTGTAGAATCTTCAAGTTTATATTTGGACCAGTTTGTGGCCTTCCTTCGAAACGGGTATATCTTCACATCAAACCTAGACAGAAGCATTCTCAGAATGTTTCCTCGTGATGACTGCATTCAACTCACAGAGGTGAACAATCCTGTTGATGGAGCAGTTTTGAAACTCTCTTTCTTTGGATTCTGCAAGTGGATATGTGGACCTCTGTGAAGATTTCGTTTGAAACGGGTTCATCTTCACAGAAAAACTAGACAGAAAGCATTCTCAGAAACTGCTTTGTCATGTTTGTGTTCCACTTCAGGAATTGAACTTTCCTCTTGACAGAGCAGCTCTGCAACACTCTTATTCTAGAATCTGCAAGTTGACATTTGGAGGGCTTTGAGGCCTGTGGTGGAAAAGGAAAATCTTCACATAAAAACTAGATGGAGCATTCTCAGAAACTACTTTGTGATGATTGCATTCGACTCACAGAGTTGAACATTCCTATAGATAGAGCAGGTTGTAAACAATCTTTTTGTAGAATCTGCGATTGGAGATTTGGACTGCTTTGAGGCCTACTGTAGTAAAGGAAATAACTTCATCTAAAAACCAAACGGAAGCATTCACAGACAATTCTTAGTGATCATTGGATTGAACTAACAGAGCTGAATATTCCTTTAGATGGAGCAGTTTCCAAACCCACTTTCTGTAGAATCTGCAAGTGGATATTTGGACTTCTCTGAGGATTTCGTTGGAAACGGGATAAACTTCCCAGAACTACACGGAAGCATTCTGAGAAACTTCTTTGTGATGTTTGCATTCAACTCACAGAGTTGAACCTTGCTTTCATAGTTCAGCTTTCAAACACTCCTTTTGTAGAATCTGCAAGTGGATATTTGGGCCACTTTGTGGCCTTCCTTCGAAACGGGTATATCTTCACATCAAACCTAGACAGAAGCATTCTCAGAATGTTTCCTGTGATGACTGCATTCAACTCACAGAGGTGAACAATCCTGCTGATGGAGCAGTTTTGAAACTCTCTTTCTTTGGATTCTGCAAGTGGATATGTGGACCTCTGTGAAGATTTCGTTGGAAACGGGTTCATCTTCACAGAAAAACTAAACAGAAGCATTCTCAGAAACTGCTTTGTGATGTTTGTGTTCCACTTCAAGAATTGAACTTTCCTCTTGACAGAGCAGCTCTGAAACCCTCTTATTCTAGAATCTGCAAGTGGACATTTGGAAGGCTTTGAGGCCTGTGGTGGAAAAGGAAAATCTTCACATACAAACTAGATGGAAGCATTCTCAGAAACTACTTTGTGATGATTGCATTCGACTCACAGAGTTGAACATTCCTATAGATAGAGCAGGTTGTAAACAATCTTTTTGTAGAATCTGCGATTGGAGATTTGGACTGCTTTGAGGCCTACTGTAGTAAAGGAAATAACTTCATCTAAAAACCAAACGGAAGCAATCACAGACAATTCTTAGTGATCATTGCATTGAACTAACAGAGCTGAACATTCCTTTAGATGGCGCAGTTTCCAAACACACTTTCTGTAGAATCTGCAAGTGGATATTTGGACCTACTCTGAGGATTTCGTTGGAAACGGGATAAACTTCCCAGAACTACACGGAAGCATTGTGAGAAACTTCTCTGTGATGTTTGCATTCAACTCACAAAGTTGAACCTTGCTTTCATAGTTCAGCTTTCAAACACTCTTTTTGTGGAATCTGCAAGTGGATATTTGGACCACTTTGTGGCCTTCCTTCGAAACGGGTATATCTTCACATCAAACCTAGACAGAAGCATTCTCAGAATGTTTCCTGTGATGACTGCATTCAACTCACAGAGGTGAACAATCCTGCTGATGGAGCAGTTTTGAAACTCTCTTTCTTTGGATTCTGCAAGTGGATATGTGGACCTCTGTGAAGATTTCGTTGGAAACGGGTTCATCTTCACAGAAAAACTAAACAGGAGCATTCTCAGAAACTGCTTTGTGATGTTTGTGTTCCACCTAAAGAATTGAACTTTCCTCTTGACAGAGCAGCTCTGAAACCCTCCTTTTCTAGAATCTGCAAGTGGACATTTGGAGGGCTTTGAGGCCTGTGGTGGAAAAGGAAAATCTTCACATAAAAACTAGATGGAAGCATTCTCAGAAACTACTTTGTGATGATTGCATTCGACTCACAGAGTTGAACATTCCTATAGATAGAGCAGGTTGTAAACAATCTTTTTGTAGAATCTGCGATTGGAGATTTGGACTGCTTTGAGGCCTACTGTAGTAAAGGAAATAACTTCATCTAAAAACCAAACGGAAGCATTCACAGACAATTCTTAGTGATCATTGGATTGAACTAACAGAGCTGAACATTCCTTTAGATGGAGCATTTTCCAAACACACTTTCTGTAGAATCTGCAAGTGGATATTTGGACCTCTCTGAGGATTTCGTTGGAAACGGGATAAACTTCCCAGAACTACACGGAAGCATTGTGAGAAACTTCTTTGTGATGTTTGCATTCAACTCACAGAGTTGAACCTTGCTTTCATAGTTCAGCTTTCAAACACTCTTTTTGTAGAATCTGCAAGTGGATATTTGGACCACTTTGTGGCCTTCCTTCGAAACGGGTATATCTTCACATCAAACCTAGACATAAGCATTCTCAGAATGTTTCCTGTGATGACTGCATTCAACTCACAGAGGTGAACAATCCTGCTGATGGAGCAGTTTTGAAACTCTCTTTCTTTGGATTCTGCAAGTGGATATGTGGACCTCTGTGTAGATTTCGTTGGAAACGGGTTCATCTTCACAGAAAAACTAAACAGGAGCATTCTCAGAAACTGCTTTGTGATGTTTGTGTTCCACTTCAAGAATTGAACTTTCCTCTTGACAGAGCAGCTCTGAAACCCTCTTTTTCTAGAATCTGCAAGTGGACATTTGGAGGGCTTTGAGGCCTGTGGTGGAAAAGGAAAATCTTCCCATAAAAACTAGATGGAAGCATTCTCAGAAACTACTTTGTGATGATTGCATTCGACTCACAGAGTTGAACATTCCTATAGATAGAGCAGGTTGTAAACAATCTTTTTGTAGAATCTGCGATTGGAGATTTGGACTGCTTTGAGGCCTACTGTAGTAAAGGAAATAACTTCACCTAAAAACCAAACGGAAGCATTCACAGACAATTCTTAGTGATCATTGCATTGAACTAACAGAGCTGAACATTCCTTTAGATGGCGCAGTTTCCAAACACACTTTCTGTAGAATCTGCAAGTGGATATTTCGACCTCTCTTAGGATTTCGTTGGAAACGGGATAAACTTCCCAGAACTACACGGAAGCATTCTGAGAAACTTCTTTGTGATGTTTGCATTCAACTCACAGAGTTGAACCTTGCTTTCATAGTTCAGCTTTCAAACACTCTTTTTGTAGAATCTGCAAGTGGATATTTCGACCACTTTGTGGCCTTCCTTCGAAACGGGTATATCTTCACATCAAACCCTAGACAGAAGCATTCTCAGAATGTTTCCTGTGATGACTGCATTCAACTCACAGAGGTGAACAATCCTGCTGATGGAGCAGTTTTGAAACTCTCTTTCTTTGGATTCTGCAAGTGGATATGTGGACCTCTGTGAAGATTTCGTTGGAAAAGGGTTCATCTTCACAGAAAAACTAAACAGGAGCATTCTCAGAAACTGCTTTGTGATGTTTGTGTTCCACTTCAGGAATTGAACTTTCCTCTTGACAGAGCAACTCTGAAACCCTCTTTTTCTAGAATCTGCAAGTGGACATTTGGAGGGCTTTGAGGCCTGTGGTGGAAAAGGAAAATCTTCACATAAAAACTAGATGGAAGCATTCTCAGAAACTACTTTGTGATGATTGCATTCGACTCACAGAGTTGAACATTCCTATAGATAGAGCAGGTTGTAAACAATCTTTTTGTAGAATCTGCGATTGGAGATTTGGACTGCTTTGAGGCCTACTGTAGTAAAGGAAATAACTTCATCTAAAAACCAAACGGAAGCATTCACAGACAATTCTTAGTGATCATTGCATTGAACTAACAGAGCTGAACATTCCTTTAGATGGCGCAGTTTCCAAACACACTTTCTGTAGAATCTGCAAGTGGATATTTGGACTTCTCTGAGGATTTCGTTGGAAACGGGATAAACTTCCCAGAACTACACGGAAGCATTGTGAGAAACTTCTTTGTGATGTTTGCATTCAACTCACAGAGTTGAACCTTGCTTTCATAGTTCAGCTTTCAAACACTCTTTTTGTAGAATCTGCAAGTGGATATTTGGACCACTTTGTGGCCTTCCTTCGAAACGGGTATATCTTCACATCAAACCTAGACAGAAGCATTCTCAGAATGTTTCCTGTGATGACTGCATTCAACTCACAGAGGTGAACAATCCTGCTGATGGAGCAGTTTTGAAACTCTCTTTCTTTGGATTCTGCAAGTGGATATGTGGACCTCTGTGAAGATTTCGTTGGAAACGGGTTCATCTTCACAGAAAAACTAAAAAGAAGCATTCTCAGAAACTGCTTTGTGATGTTTGTGTTCCACTTCAGGAATTGAACTTTCCTCTTGACAGAGCAGCTCTGAAACCCTCTTTTTCTAGAATCTGCAAGTGGACATTTGGAGGGCTTTGAGGCCTGTGGTGGAAAAGGAAAATCTTCACATAAAAACTAGATGGAAGCATTCTCAGAAACTACTTTGTGATGATTGCATTCGACTCACAGAGTTGAACATTCCTATAGATAGAGCAGGTTGTAAACAATCTTTTTGTAGAATCTGCGATTGGAGATTTGGACTGCTTTGAGGCCTACTGTAGTAAAGGAAATAACTTCATCTAAAAACCAAACGGAAGCATTCACAGACAATTCTTAGTGACCATTGCATTGAACTAACAGAGCTGAATATTCCTTTAGATGGCGCAGTTTCCAAACACACTTTCTGTAGAATCTGCAAGTGGATATTTGGACTTCTCTGAGGATTTCGTTGGAAACGGGATAAACTGCCCAGAACTACACGGAAGCATTGTGAGAAACTTCTTTGTGATGTTTGCATTCAACTCACAGAGTTGAACCTTGCTTTCATACTTCAGCTTTCAAACACTCTTTTTGTGGAATCTGCAAGTGGATATTTGGACCACTTTGTGGCCTTCCTTCGAAACGGGTATATCTTCACATCAAACCTAGACAGAAGCATTCTCAGAATGTTTCCTGTGATGACTGCATTCAACTCACAGAGGTGAACAATCCTGCTGATGGAGCAGTTTTGAAACTCTCTTTCTTTGGATTCTGCAAGTGGATATGTGGACCTCTGTGAAGATTTCGTTGGAAACGGGTTCATCTTCACAGAAAAACTAAACAGGAGCATTCTCAGAAACTGCTTTGTGATGTTTGTGTTCCACTTCAAGAATTGAACTTTCCTCTTGACAGAGCAGCTCTGAAACCCTCTTTTTCTAGAATCTGCAAGTGGACATTTGGAGGGCTTTGAGGCCTGTGGTGGAAAAGGAAAATCTTCACATAAAAACTAGATGGAAGCATTCTCACAAACTCCTTTGTGATGATTGCATTCGACTCACAGAGTTGAACATTCCTATAGATAGAGCAGGTTGTAAACAATCTTTTTGTAGAATCTGCGATTGGAGATTTGGACTGCTTTGAGGCCTACTGTAGTAAAGGAAATAACTTCATCTAAAAACCAAACGGAAGCATTCACAGACAATGCTTAGTGATCATTGGATTAAACTAACAGAGCTGAACATTCCTTTAGATGGAGCAGTTTCCAAACACACTTTCTGTAGAATCGGCAAGTGGATATTTGGACCTCTCTGAGGATTTCGTTGGAAACGGGATATACTTCCCAGAACTACACGGAAGCATTCTGAGAAACTTCTTTGTGATGTTTGCATTCAACTCACAGATTTGAAACTTGCTTTCAAAGTTCAGCTTTCAAACACTCTTTTTGTAGAATCTGCAAGTGGATATTTGGACCACTTTGTGGCCTTCCTTCGAAAAGGGTATATCTTCACATCAAACCTAGACAGAAGCATTCTCAGAATGTTTCCTGTGATGACTGCATTCAACTCACAGAGGTGAACAATCCTTCTGATGGAGCAGTTTTGAAACTCTCTTTCTTTGGATTCTGCAAGTGGATATGTGGACCTCTGTGAAAATTACGTTGGAAACGGGTTCATCTTCACAGAAAAACTAAACAGAAGCATTCTCAGAAACTGCTTTGTGATGTTTGTGTTCCACTTCAGGAATTGAGCTTTCCTCTTGACAGAGCAGCTCTGAAACCCTCTTTTTCTAGAATCTGCAAGTGGACATTTGGAGGGCTTTGAGGCCTGTGGTGGAAAAGGAAAATCTTCACATAAAAACTAGATGGAAGCATTCTCAGAAACTACTTTGTGATGATTGCATTCGACTCACAGAGTTGAACATTCCTATACATAGAGCAGGTTGTAAACAATCTTTTTGTAGAATCTGCGATTGGAGATTTGGACTGCTTTGAGGCCTACTGTAGTAAAGGAAATAACTTCATCTAAAAACCAAACGGAAGCATTCACAGACAATTCTTAGTGATCATTGCATTGAACTAACAGAGCTGAACATTCCTTTAGATGGCGCAGTTTCCAAACACACTTTCTGTAGAATCTGCAAGTGGATATTTGGACTTCTCTGAGGATATCGTTGGAAACGGGATAAACTTCCCAGAACTACACGGAAGCATTGTGAGAAACTTCTTTGTGATGTTTGCATTCAACTCACAGAGTTGAACCTTGCTTTCATAGTTCAGCTTTCAAACACTCTTTTTGTAGAATCTGCAAGTGGATATTTGGACCACTTTGTGGCCTTCCTTCGAAACGGGTATATCTTCACATCAAACCTAGACAGAAGCATTCTCAGAATGTTTCCTGTGATGACTGCATTCAACTCACAGAGGTGAACAATCCTGCTGATGGAGCAGTTTTGAAACTCTCTTTCTTTGGATTCTGCAAGTGGATATGTGGACCTCTGTGAAGATTTCGTTGGAAACGGGTTCATCTTCACAGAAAAACTAAACAGAAGCATTCTCAGAAACTGCTTTGTGATGTTTTTGTTCCACTTCAGGGAATTGAACTTTCCTCTTGACAGAGCAGCTCTGAAACCCTCTTTTTCTAGAATCTGCAAGTGGACATTTGGAGGGCTTTGAGGCCTGTGGTGGAAAAGGAAAACCTTCACATAAAAACTAGATGGAAGCATTCTCAGAAACTACTTTGTGATGATTGCATTCGACTCACAGAGTTGAACATTCCTATAGATAGAGCAGGTTGTAAACAATCTTTTTGTAGAATCTGCGATTGGAGATTTGGACTGCTTTGAGGCCTACTGTAGTAAAGGAAATAAATTCATCTAAAAACCAAACGGAAGCATTCACAGACAATTCTTAGTGATCATTGCATTGAACTAACAGAGCTGAACATTCCTTTAGATGGAGCAGTTTCCAAACCCACTTTCTGTAGAATCTGCAAGTGGATATTTGGAATTCTCTGAGGATTTCGTTGGAAACGGGATATACTTCCCAGAACTACACGGAAGCATTGTGAGAAACTTCTTTGTGATGTTTGCATTCAACTCACAGAGTTGAACCTTGCTTTCATAGTTCAGCTTTCAAACACTCTTTTTGTAGAATCTGCAAGTGGATATTTGGAACACTTTGTGGCCTTCCTTTGAAACGGGTATATCTTCACATCAAACCTAGACAGAAGCATTCTCAGAATGTTTCCTGTGATGACTGCATTCAACTCACAGAGGTGAACAATCCTGCTGATGGAGCAGTTTTGAAACTCTCTTTCTTTGGATTCTGCAAGTGGATATGTGGACCTCTGTGAAGATTTCGTTGGAAACGGGTTCATCTTCACAGAAAAACTAAACAGAAGCATTCTCAGAAACTGCTTTGTGATGTTTGTGTTCCACTTCAGCAATTGAACTTTCCTCTTGACAGAGCAGCTCTGAAACCCTCTTATTCTAGAATCTGCAAGTGGACATTTGGAGGGCTTTGGGGCCTGTGGTGGAAAAGGAAAATCTTCACATAAAAACTAGATGGAAGCATTCTCAGAAACTACTTTGTGATGATTGCATTCGACTCACAGAGTTGAACATTCCTATAGATAGAGCAGGTTGTAAACAATCTTTTTGTAGAATCTGCGATTCGAGATTTGGAATGCTTTGAGGCCTACTGCAGTAAAGGAAATAACTTCATCTAAAAACCAAACGGAAGCATTCACAGACAATTCTTAGTGATCATTGGATTGAACTAACAGAGCTGAACATTCCTTTAGATGGAGCAGTTTCCAAACACACTTTCTGTAGAATCTGCAAGTGGATATTTGGACCTCTCTGAGGATTTCGTTGGAAACGGGATAAACTTCCCAGAACTACACGGAAGCATTCTGAGAAACTTCTTTGTGATGTTTGCATTCAACTCACAGAGTTGAACCTTGCTTTCATAGTTCAGCTTTCAAACACTCTTTTTGTAGAATCTGCAAGTGGATATTTGGACCACTTTGTGGCCTTCCTTCGAAACGGGTATATCTTCACATCAAACCTAGACAGAAGCATTCTCAGAATGTTTCCTGTGATGACTGCATTCAACTCACAGAGGTGAACAATCCTGTTGATGGAGCAGTTTTGAAACTCTCTTTCTTTGGATTCTGCAAGTTGATATGTGGACCTCTGTGAAGATTTCGTTGGAAACGGGTTCATCTTCACAGAAAAACTAAACAGAAGCATTCTCAGAAACTGCTTTGTGATGTTTGTGTTCCACTTCAAGAATTGAACTTTCCTCTTGACAGAGCAGCTCTGAAACCCTCTTTTTCTAGAATCTGCAAGTGGACATTTGGAGGGCTTTGAGGCCTGTGGTGGAAAAGGAAAATCTTCACATAAAAACTAGATGGAAGCATTCTCAGAAACTACTTTGTGATGATTGCATTCGACTCACAGAGTTGAACATTCCTATAGATAGAGCAGGTTGTAAACAATGTTTTTGTAGAATCTGCGATTGGAGATTTGGATTGCTTTGAGGCCTACTGTAGTAAAGGAAATAACTTCATCTAAAAACCAAACGGAAGCATTCACAGACAATTCTTAGTGATCATTGGATTGAACTAACAGAGCTGAACATTCCTTTAGATGGAGCAGTTGCCAAACCCACTTTCTGTAGAATCTGCAAGTGGATATTTGGACTTCTCTGAGGATTTCGTTGGAAACGGGATAAACTTCCCAGAACTACACGGAAGCATTGTGAGAAACTTCTTTGTGATGTTTGCATTCAACTCACAGAGTTGAACCTTGCTTTCATAGTTCAGCTTTCAAACACTCTTTTTGTAGAATCTGCAAGTGGATATTTGGACCACTTTGTGGCCTTCCTTTGAAAAGGGTGTATCTTCACATCAAACCTAGACAGAAGCATTCTCAGAATGTTTCCTGTGATGACTGCATTCAACCCACAGAGGTGAACAATCCTTCTGATGGAGCAGTTTTGAAACTCTCCTTCTTTGGATTCTGCAAGTGGATATGTGGACCTCTGTGAAGATTTCGTTGGAAACGGGTTCATCTTCACAGAAAAACTAAACAGAAGCATTCTCAGAAACTGCTTTGTGATGTTTGTGTTCCACTTCAGGAATTGAACTTTCCTCTTGACAGAGCAGCTCTAAAACCCTCTTATTCTAGAATCTGCAAGTGGACATTTGGAGGGCTTTGAGGCCTGTGGTGGAAAAGGAAAATCTTCACATAAAAACTAGATGGAAGCATTCTCAGAAACTACTTTGTGATGATTGCATTCGACTCACAGAGTTGAACATTCCTATAGATAGAGCAGGTTGTAAACAATCTTTTTGTAGAATCTGCGATTGGAAATTTGGACTGCTTTGAGGCCTACTGTAGTAAAGGAAATAACTTCATCTAAAAACCAAACGGAAGCATTCACAGACAATTCTTAGTGATCATTGGATTGAACTAACAGAGCTGAACATTCCTTTAGATGGAGCATTTTCCAAACACACTTTCTGTAGAATCTGCAAGTGGATATTTGGACTTCTCTGAGGATTTCGTTGGAAACGGGATAAACTTCCCAGAACTACACGGAAGCATTCTGAGAAACTTCTTTGTGATGTTTGCATTCAACTCACAGAGTTGAACCTTGCTTTCATAGTTCAGCTTTCAAACACTCTTTTTGTAGAATCTGCAAGTGGATATTTGGACCACTTTGTGGCCTTCCTTCGAAACGGGTATATCTTCACATCAAACCTAGACAGAAGCATTCTCAGAATGTTACCTGTGATGACTGCATTCAACTCACAGAGGTGAACAATCCTGCTGATGGAGCAGTTTTGAAACTCTCCTTCTTTGGATTCTGCAAGTGGATATGTGGACCTCTGTGAAGATTTCGTTGGAAACGGGTTCATCTTCACAGAAAAACTAAACAGAAGCATTCTCAGAAACTGCTTTGTGATGTTTGTGTTCCACTTCAAGAATTGAAATTTCCTCTTGACAGAGCAGCTCTGAAACCCTCTTTTTCTAGAATCTGCAAGTGGACATTTGGAGGGATTTGAGGCCTGTGGTGGAAAAGGAAAAATCTTCACATAAAAACTAGATGGAAGCATTCTCAGAAACTACTTTGTGATGATTGCATTCGACTCACAGAGTTGAACATTCCTATAGATATAGTAGGTTGTAAACAATCTTTTTGTAGAATCTGCGATTGGAGATTTGGACTGCTTTGAGGCCTACTGTAGTGAAGGAAATAACTTCATCTAAAAACCAAACGGAAGCATTCACAGACAATTCTTAGTGATCATTGGATTGAACTAACAGAGCTGAACATTCTTTTAGATGGAGCAGTTTCCAAACCCACTTTCTGTAGAATCTGCAAGTGGATATTTGGACTTCTCTGAGGATTTCTTTGGAAACGGGATAAACTTCCCAGAACTACAGGGAAGCATTGTGAGAAACTTCTTTGTGATGTTTGCATTCAACTCACAGAGTTGAACCTTGCTTTCATAGTTCAGCTTTCAAACACTCTTTTTGTAGAATCTGCAAGTGGATATTTGGACCACTTTGTGGCCTTCCTTCGAAACGGGTATATCTTCACATCAAACCTAGACAGAAGCATTCTCAGAATGTTTCCTGTGATGACTGCATTCAACTCACAGAGGTGAACAATCCTGCTGATGGAGCACTTTTGAAACTCTCTTTCTTTGGATTCTGCAAGTGGATATGTGGACCTCTGTGAAGATTTCGTTGGAAACGGGTTCATCTTCACAGAAAAACTAAACAAATGCATTCTCAGAAACTGCTTTGTGATGTTTGTGTTCCACTTCAGGAATTGAACTTTCCTCTTGACAGAGCAGCTCTGAAACCCTCTTTTTCTAGAATCTGCAAGTGGACATTTGGAGGGCTTTGAGGCCTGTGGTGGAAAAGGAAAATCTTCACATAAAAACTAGATGGAAGCATTCTCAGAAACTACTTTGTGATGATTGCATTCGACTCACAGAGTTGAACATTCCTATAGATAGAGCAGGTTGTAAACAATCTTTTCGTAGAATCTGCGTTTGGAGATTTGGACTGCTTTGAGGCGTACTGTAGTAAAGGAAATAACTTCATCTAAAAACCAAATGGAAGCATTCACAGACAATTCTTAGTGATCATTGGATTGAACTAACAGAGCTGAACATTCCTTTAGATGGAGCAGTTTCCAAACCCACTTTCTGTAGAATCTGCAAGTGGATATTTGGACTTCTCTGAGGATTTCGTTGGAAACGGGATAAACTTCCCAGAACTACAGGGAAGCATTCTGAGAAACTTCTTTGTGATGTTTGCATTCAACTCACAGAGTTGAACCTTGCTTTCATAGTTCAGCTTTCAAACACTCTTTTTGTAGAATCTGCAAGTGGATATTTGGACCACTTTGTGGCCTTCCTTCGAAACGGGTATATCTTCACATCAAACCTAGACAGAAGCATTCTCAGAATGTTTCCTGTGATGACTGCATTCAACTCACAGAGGTGAACAATCCTGTTGATGGAGCACTTTTGAAACTCTCTTTCTTTGGATTCTGCAAGTTGATATGTGGACCTCTGTGAAGATTTCGTTGGAAACGGGTTCATCTTCACAGAAAAACTAAACAGAAGCATTCTCAGAAACTGCTTTGTGATGTTTGTGTTCCACTTCAAGAATTGAACTTTCCTCTTGACAGAGCAGCTCTGAAACCCTCTTTTTCTAGAATCTGCAAGTGGACATTTGGAGGGCTTTGAGGCCTGTGGTGGAAAAGGAAAATCTTCACATAAAAACTAGATGGAAGCATTCTCAGAAACTACTTTGTGATGATTGCATTCGACTCACAGAGTTGAACATTCCTATAGATAGAGCAGGTTGTAAACAATCTTTTTGTAGAATCTGCGATTGGAGAGTTGGACTGCTTTGAGGCCTACTGTAGTAAAGGAAATAACTTCATCTAAAAACCAAACGGAAGCATTCACAGACAATTCTTAGTGATCATTGGATTGAACTAACAGAGCTGAACATTCCTTTAGATGGAGCATTTTCCAAACACACTTTCTGTAGAATCTGCAAGTGGATATTTGGACTTCTCTGAGGATTTCGTTGGAAACGGGATAAACTTCCCAGAACTACACGGAAGCATTCTGAGAAACTTCTTTGTGATGTTTGCATTCAACTCACAGAGTTGAACCTTGCTTTCATAGTTCAGCTTTCAAACACTCTTTTTGTAGAATCTGCAAGTGGATATTTGGACCACTTTCTGGCCTTCCTTCGAAACGGGTATATCTTCACATCAAACCTAGACAGAAGCATTCTCAGAATGTTTCCTGTGATGACTGCATTCAACTCACTGAGGTGAACAATCCTGCTGATGGAGGAGTTTTGAAACTCTCTTTCTTTGGATTCTGCAAGTGGATATGTGGACCTCTGTGAAGATTTCGTTGGAAACGGGTTCATCTTCACAGAAAAACTAAACAGAAGCATTCTCAGAAACTGCTTTGTGATGTTTGTGTTCCACTTCAAGAATTGAACTTTCCTCTTGACAGAGCAGCTCTGAAACCCTCTTATTCTAGAATCTGCAAGTGGACATTTGGAGGGCTTTGAGGCCTGTGGTGGAAAAGGAAAATCTTCACATAAAAACTAGATGGAAGCATTCTCAGAAACTACTTTGTGATGATTGCATTCGACTCACAGAGTTGAACATTCCTATAGATAGAGCAGGTTGTAAACAATCTTTTTGTAGAATCTGCGATTGGAGATTTGGACTGCTTTGAGGCCTACTGTAGTAAAGGAAATAACTTCATCTAAAAACCAAACGGAAGCAATCACAGACAATTCTTAGTGATCATTGCATTGAACTAACAGAGCTGAACATTCCTTTAGATGGCGCAGTTTCCAAACACACTTTCTGTAGAATCTGCAAGTGGATATTTGGACCTCTCTGAGGATTTCGTTGGAAACGGGATAAATTTCCCAGAACTACACGGAGCATTGTGAGAAACTTCTTTGTGATGTTTGCATTCAACTCACAGAGTTGAACCTTGCTTTCATAGTTCAGCTTTCAAACACTCTTTTTGTAGAATCTGCAAGTGGATATTTGGACCACTTTGTGGCCTTCCTTCGAAACGGGTATATCTTCACATCAAACCTAGACAGAAGCATTCTCAGAATGTTTCCTGTGATGACTGCATTCAACTCACAGAGGTGAACAATCCTGCTGATGGAGCAGTTTTGAAACTCTCTTTCTTTGGATTCTGCAAGTGGATATGTGGACCTCTGTGAAGATTTCGTTGGAAACGGGTTCATCTTCACAGAAAAACTAAACAGGAGCATTCTCAGAAACTGCTTTGTGATGTTTGTGTTCCACTTCAGGAATTGAACTTTCCTCTTGACAGAGCAGCTCTGAAACCCTCTTTTTCTAGAATCTGCAAGTGGACATTTGGAGGGCTTTGAGGCCTGTGGTGGAAAAGGAAAATCTTCACATAAAAACTAGATGGAAGCATTCTCAGAAACTACTTTGTGATGATTGCATTCGACTCACAGAGTTGAACATTCCTATAGATAGAGCAGGTTGTAAACAATCTTTTTGTAGAATCTGCGATTGGAGATTTGGACTGCTTTGAGGCCTACTGTAGTAAAGGAAATAACTTCATCTAAAAACCAAACGGAAGCATTCACAGACAATTCTTAGTGATCATTGGATTGAACTAACAGAGCTGAACATTCCTTTAGATGGAGCATTTTCCAAACACACTTTCTGTAGAATCTGCAAGTGGATATTTGGACTTCTCTGAGGATTTCGTTGGAAACGGGATAAACTTCCCAGAACTACACGGAAGCATTCTGAGAAACTTCTTTGTGATGTTTGCATTCAACTCACAGAGTTGAACCTTGCTTTCATAGTTCAGCTTTCAAACACTCTTTTTGTAGAATCTGCAAGTGGATATTTGGACCACTTTCTGGCCTTCCTTCGAAACGGGTATATCTTCACATCAAACCTAGACAGAAGCATTCTCAGAATGTTTCCTGTGATGACTGCATTCAACTCACAGAGGTGAACAATCCTGCTGATGGAGCAGTTTTGAAACTCTCTTTCTTTGGATTCTGCAAGTGGATATGTGGACCTCTGTGAAGATTTCGTTGGAAACGGGTTCATCTTCACAGAAAAACTAAACAGGAGCATTCTCAGAAACTGCTTTGTGATGTTTGTGTTCCACTTCAGGAATTGAACTTTCCTCTTGACAGAGCAGCTCTGAAACCCTCTTTTTCTAGAATCTGCAAGTGGACATTTGGAGGGCTTTGAGGCCTGTGGTGGAAAAGGAAAATCTTCACATAAAAACTAGATGGAAGCATTCTCAGAAACTACTTTGTGATGATTGCATTCGACTCACAGAGTTGAACATTCCTATAGATAGAGCAGGTTGTAAACAATGTTTTTGTAGAATCTGCGATTGGAGATTTGGACTGCTTTGAGGCCTACTGTAGTAAAGGAAATAACTTCATCTAAAAACCAAACGGAAGCATTCACAGACAATTCTTAGTGATCATTGGATTGAACTAACAGAGCTGAACATTCCTTTAGATGGCGCAGTTTCCAAACACACTTTCTGTAGAATCTGCAAGTGGATATTTGGACTTCTCTGAGGATTTCGTTGGAAACGGGATAAACTTCCCAGAACTACACGGAAGCATTCTGAGAAACTTCTTTGTGATGTTTGCATTCAACTCACAGAGTTGAACCTTGCTTTCATAGTTCAGCTTTCAAACACTCTTTTTGTAGAATCTGCAAGTGGATATTTGGACCACTTTGTGGCCTTCCTTCGAAACGGGTATATCTTCACATCAAACCTAGACAGAAGCATTCTCAGAATGTTTCCTGTGATGACTGCATTCAACTCACAGAGGTGAACAATCCTGTTGATGGAGCAGTTTTGAAACTCTCTTTCTTTGGATTCTGCAAGTTGATATGTGGACCTCTGTGAAGATTTCGTTGGAAACGGGTTCATCTTCACAGAAAAACTAAGCAGAAGCATTCTCAGAAACTGCTTTGTGATGTTTGTGTTCCACTTCAAGAATTGAACTTTCCTCTTGACAGAGCAGCTCTGAAACCCTCTTTTTCTAGAATCTGCAAGTGGACATTTGGAGGGCTTTGAGGCCTGTGGTGGAAAAGGAAAATCTTCACATAAAAACTAGATGGAAGCATTCTCAGAAACTACTTTGTGATGATTGCATTCGACTCACAGAGTTGAACATTCCTATAGATAGAGCAGGTTGTAAACAATCTTTTTGTAGAATCTGCGATTGGAGATTTGGACTGCTTTGAGGCCTACTGTAGTAAAGGAAATAACTTCATCTAAAAACCAAACGGAAGCATTCACAGACAATTCTTAGTGATCATTGGATTGAACTAACAGAGCTGAACATTCCTTTAGATGGAGCAGTTTCCAAACCCGCTTTCTGTAGAATCTGCAAGTGGATATTTGGACTTCTCTGAGGATTTCTTTGGAAACGGGATAAACTTCCCAGAACTACACGGAAGCATTGTGAGAAACTTCTTTGTGATGTTTGCATTCAACTCACAGAGTTGAACCTTGCTTTCATAGCTCAGCTTTCAAACACTCTTTTTGTAGAATCTGCAAGTGGATATTTGGACCACTTTGTGGCCTTCCTTCGAAACGGGTATATCTTCACATCAAACCTAGACAGAAGCATTCTCAGAATGTTTCCTGTGATGACTGCATTCAACTCACAGAGGTGAACAATCGTGTTGATGGAGCAGTTTTGAAACTCTCTTTCTTTGGAATCTGCAAGTGGATGTGTGGACCTCTTTGAAGATTTGGTTGGATTCGGGTTCATCTTCAAAGAAAAACTAAACAGAAACATTCTCAGAAACTGCTTTGTGATGTTTGTGTTCCACTTCAAGAATTGAACTTTCCTCTTGACAGAGCAGCTCTGAAACCCTCTTTTTCTAGAATCTGCAAGTGGACATTTGGAGGGCTTTGAGGCCTGTGGTGGAAAAGGAAAATCTTCACATAAAAACTAGATGGAAGCATTCTCAGAAACTACTTTGTGATGATTGCATTCGACTCACAGAGTTGAACATTCCTATAGATAGAGCAGGTTGTAAACAATCTTTTTGTAGAATCTGCGATTGGAGATTTGGACTGCTTTGAGGCCTACTGTAGTAAAGGAAATAACTTCATCTAAAAACCAAACGGAAGCATTCACAGACAATTCTTAGTGATCATTGGATTGAAGTAACAGAGCTGAACATTCCTTTAGATGGAGCAGTTTCCAAACACACTTTCTGTAGAATCTGCAAGTGGAT
Source organism: Homo sapiens (assembly GCF_000001405.40). Taxonomy (NCBI): domain Eukaryota; kingdom Metazoa; phylum Chordata; class Mammalia; order Primates; family Hominidae; genus Homo; species Homo sapiens. Next base: position 52,409,695 of record NC_000011.10, read on the forward strand.
ATTTGGACCTCTCTGAGGATTTCATTGGAAAAGGGATAAACTTCCCAGAACTACACGGAAAGCATTGTGAGAAACTTCTTTGTGATGTTTGCATTCAACTCACAGAGTTGAACCTTGCTTTCATAGTTCAGCTTTCAAACACTCTTTTTGTGGAATCTGCAAGTGGATATTTGGACCACTTTGTGGCCTTCCTTCGAAACGGGTATATCTTCACATCAAACCTAGACAGAAGCATTCTCCGAATGTTTCCTGTGATGACTGCATTCAACTCACAGAGGTGAACAATCCTGCTGTTGGAGCAGTTTTGAAACTCTCTTTCTTTGGATTCTGCAAGTGGATATGTGGACCTCTGTGAAGATTTCGTTGGAAACGGGTTCATCTTCACAGAAAAACTAAACAGAAGCATTCTCAGAAACTGCTTTGTGATGTTTGTGTTCCACTTCAAGAATTGAACTTTCCTCTTGACAGAGCAGCTCTGAAACCCTCTTTTTCTAGAATCTGCAAGTGGACATTTGGAGGGCTTTGAGGCCTGTGGTGGAAAAGGAAAATCTTCACATAAAAACTAGATGGAAGCATTCTCAGAAACTACTTTGTGATGATTGCATTCGACTCACAGAGTTGAAAATTCCTATAGATAGAGCAGGTTGTAAACAATCTTTTTGTAGAATCTGCGATTGCAGATTTGGACTGCTTTGAGGCCTACTGTAGTAAAGGAAATAACTTCATCTAAAAACCAAACGGAAAGCATTCACAGACAATTCTTAGTGATCATTGGATTGAACTAACAGAGCTGAACATTCCTTTAGATGGAGCAGTTTCCAAACACACTTTCTGTAGAATCTGCAAGTGGATATTAGGACTTCTCTGAGGATTTCGTTGGAAACGGGATAAACTTCCCAGAACTACAGGGAAGCATTGTGAGAAACTTCTTTGTGATGTTTGCATTCAACTCACAGAGTTGAACCTTGCTTTCATAGTTCAGCTTTCAAACACTCTTTTTGTAGAATCTGCAAGTGGATATTTGGACCACTTTGTGGCCTTCCTTCGAAACGGGTATATCTTCACATCAAACCTAGACAGAAGCATTCTCAGAATGTTTCCTGTGATGACTGCATTCAACTCACAGAGGTGAACAATCCTGCTGATGGAGCAGTTTTGAAACTCTCTTTCTATGGATTCTGCAAGTGGATATGTGGACCCCTGTGAAGATTTCGTTGGAAACGGGTTCATCTTCACAGAAAAACTAAACAGGAGCATTCTCAGAAACTGCTTTGTGATGTTTGTGTTCCACTTAAAGAATTGAACTTTCCTCTTGACAGAGCAGCTCTGAAACCCTCTTTTTCTAGAATCTGCAAGTGGACATTTGGAGGGCTTTGAGGCCTGTGGTGGAAAAGGAAAATCTTCACATAAAAATTTTATGGAAGCATTCTCAGAAACTACTTTGTGATGATTGCATTCGACTCACAGAGTTGAACATTCCTATAGATAGAGCAGGTTTTAAGCAATCTTTTTGTAGAATCTGCGATTGGAGATTTGGAATGCTTTGAGGCCTACTGTAGTAAAGGAAATAACTTCATCTAAAAACCAAACGGAAGCATTCACAGACAATTCTTAGTGATCATTGGATTGAACTAACAGAGCTGAACATTCCTTTAGATGGAGCAGTTTCCAAACACACTTTCTGTAGAATCTGCAAGTGGATATTTGGACTTCTCTGAGGATTTCGTTGGAAACGGGATAAACTTCCCAGAACTACACGGAAGCATTGTGAGAAACTTCTTTGTGATGTTTGCATTCAACTCACAGAGTTGAACCTTGCTTTCATAGTTCAGCTTTCAAACACTCTTTTTGTAGAATCTGCAAGTGGATATTTGGACCACTTTGTGGCCTTCCTTCGAAACGGGTATATCTTCACATCAAACCTAGACAGAAGCATTCTCAGAATGTTTCCTGTGATGACTGCATTCAACTCACAGAGGTGAACAATCCTGCTGATGGAGCAGTTTTGAAACTCTCTTTCTTTGGATTCTGCAAGTGGATATGTGGACCTCTGTGAAGATTTCGTTGGAAACGGGTTCATCTTCACAGAAAAACTAAACAGAAGCATTCTCAGAAACTGCTTTGTGATGTTTGTGTTCCACTTCAAGAATTGAACTTTCCTCTTGACAGAGCAGCTCTGAAACCCTCTTTTTCTAGAATCTGCAAGTGGACATTTGGAGGGCTTTGAGGCCTGTGGTGGAAAAGGAAAATCTTCACATAAAAACTAGATGGAAGCATTCTCAGAAACTACTTTGTGATGATTGCATTCGACTCACAGAGTTGAACATTCCTATAGATAGAGCAGGTTGTAAACAATCTTTTTGTAGAATCTGCGATTGGAGATTTGGACTGCTTTGAGGCCTACTGTAGTAAAGGAAATAACTTCATCTAAAAACCAAACGGAAGCATTCACAGACAATTCTTAATGATCATTGCATTGAACTAACAGAGCTGAACATTCCTTTAGATGGAGCAGTTTCCAAACCCACTTTCTGTAGAATCTGCAAGTGGATATTTGGACTTCTCTGAGGATTTCGTTGGAAACGGGATAAACTTCCCAGAACTACACGGAAGCATTCTGAGAAACTTCTTTGTGATGTTTGCATTCAACTCACAGAGTTGAACCTTGCTTTCATAGTTCAGCTTTCAAACACTCTTTTTGTAGAATCTGCAAGTGGATATTTGGACCATTTTGTGGCCTTCCTTCGAAACGGGTATATCTTCACATCAAACCTAGACAGAAGCATTCTCAGAATGTTTCCTGTGATGACTGCATTCAACTCACAGAGGTGAACAATCCTGCTGATGGAGCAGTTTTGAAACTCTCTTTCTTTGGATTCTGCAAGTGGATATGTGGACCTCTGTGAAGATTTCGTTGGAAACGGGTTCATCTTCACAGAAAAACTAAACAGAAGCATTCCCAGAAACTGCTTTGTGATGTTTCTGTTCCACTTCAAGAATTGAACTTTCCTCTTGACAGAGCAGCTCTGAAACCCTCTTTTTCTAGAATCTGCAAGTGGACATTTGGAGGGCTTTGAGGCCTGTGGTGGAAAAGGAAAATCTTCACATAAAAACTAGATGGAAGCATTCTCAGAAACTACTTTGTGATGATTGCATTCGACTCACAGAGTTGAACATTCCTATAGATAGAGCAGGTTGTAAACAATCTTTTTGTAGAATCTGCGATTGGAGATTTGGACTGCTTTGAGGCCTACTGTAGTAAAGGAAATAACTTCATCTAAAAACCAAACGGAAGCATCCACAGACAATTCTTAGTGATCATTGGATTGAACTAACAGAGCTGAACATTCCCTTAGATGGCGCAGTTTCCAAACACACTTTCTGTAGAATCTGCAAGTGGATATTTGGACCTCTCTGAGGATTTCGTTGGAAACGGGATAAACTTCCCAGAACTACACGGAAGCATTCTGAGAAACTTCTTTGTGATGTTTGCATTCAACTCACAGAGTTGAACCTTGCTTTCATAGTTCAGCTTTCAAACACTCTTTTTGTAGAATCTGCAAGTGGATATTTGGACCACTTTGTGGCCTTCCTTCGAAACGGGTATATCTTCACATCAAACCTAGACAGAAGCATTCTCAGAATGTTTCCTGTGATGACTGCATTCAACTCACAGAGGTGAACAATCCTGCTGATGGAGCAGTTTTGAAACTCTCTTTCTTTGGATTCTGCAAGTGGATATGTGGACCTCTGTGAAGATTTCGTTGGAAACGGGTTCATCTTCACAGAAAAACTAAAAAGAAGCATTCTCAGAAACTGCTTTGTGATGTTTGTGTTCCACTTCAGGAATTGAACTTTCCTCTTGACAGAGCAGCTCTGAAACCCTCTTATTCTAGAATCTGCAAGTGGACATTTGGAGGGCTTTGATGCCTGTGGTGGAAAAGGAAAATCTTCACATAAAAACTAGATGGAAGCATTCTCAGAAACTACTTTGTGATGATTGCATTCGACTCACAGAGTTGAACATTCCTATAGATAGAGCAGGTTGTAAACAATCTTTTTGTAGAATCTGCGATTGGAGATTTGGACTGCTTTGAGGCCTACTGTAGTAAAGGAAATAACTTCATCTAAAAACCAAACGGAAGCATTCACAGACAATTCTTAGTGATCATTGCATTGAACTAACAGAGCTGAACATTGCTTTAGATGGAGCAGTTTCCAAACACACTTTCTGTAGAATCTGCAAGTGGATATTTGGACCTCTCTGAGGATTTCGTTGGAAACGGGATAAAATTCCCAGAACTACACGGAAGTATTCTGAGAAACTTCTTTGTGATGTTTGCATTCAACTCACAGAGTTGAACCTTGCTTTCATAGTTCAGCTTTCAAACACTCTTTTTGTAGAATCTGCAAGTGGATATTTGGACCACTTTGTGGCCTTCCTTCGAAACGGGTATATCTTCACATCAAACCTAGACAGAAGCATTCTCAGAATGTTTCCTGTGATGACTGCATTCAACTCACAGAGGTGAACAATCCTGCTGATGGAGCAGTTTTGAAACTCTCTTTCTTTGGATTCTGCAAGTGGATATGTGGACCTCTGTGAAGATTTCGTTGGAAACGGGTTCATCTTCACAGAAAAACTAAACAGGAGCATTCTCAGAAACTGCATTATCATGTTTGTGTTCCACTTCAAGAGTTGAACTTTCCTCTTGACAGAGCAGCTCTGAAACCCTCTTTTTCTAGAATCTGCAAGTGGACATTTGGAGGGCTTTGAGGCCTGTGGTGGAAAAGGAAAATCTTCACATAAAAACTAGATGGAAGCATTCTCAGAAACTACTTTGTGATGATTGCATTCGACTCACAGAGTTGAACATTCCTATAGATAGAGCAGGTTGTAAACAATCTTTTTGTAGAATCTGCGATTGGAGATTTGGACTGCTTTGAGGCCTACTGTAGTAAAGGAAATAACTTCATCTAAAAACCAAACGGAAGCATTCACAGACAATTCTTAGTGATCATTGGATTGAAATAACAGAGCTGAACATTCCTTTAGATGGAGCAGATTCCAAACACACTTTCTGTAGAATCTGCAAGTGGATATTTGGACCTCTCTGAGGATTTCGTTGGAAACGGGATAAACTTCCCAGAACTACACGGAAGCATTCTGAGAAACTTCTTTGTGATGTTTGCATTCAACTCACAGAGTTGAACCTTGCTTTCATAGTTCAGCTTTCAAACACTCTTTTTGTAGAATCTGCAAGTGGATATTTGGACCACTTTGTGGCCTTCCTTCGAAACGGGTATATCTTCACATCAAACCTAGACAGAAGCATTCTCAGAATGTTTCCTGTGATGACTGCATTCAACTCACAGAGGTGAACAATCCTGCTGATGGAGCAGTTTTGAAACTCTCTTTCTTTGGATTCTGCAAGTGGATATGTGGACCTCTGTGAAGATTTCGTTGGAAACGGGTTCATCTTCACAGAAAAAGTAAACAGGAGCATTCTCAGAAACTGCTTTGTGATGTTTGTGTTCCACTTCAGGAATTGAACTTTCCTCTTGACAGAGCAGCTCTGAAACCCTCTTTTTCTAGAATCTGCAAGTGGACATTTGGAGGGCTTTGAGGCCTGTGGTGGAAAAGGAAAATCTTCACATAAAAACTAGATGGAAGCATTCTCAGAAACTACTTTGTGATGATTGCATTCGACTCACAGAGTTGAACATTCCTATAGATAGAGCAGGTTGTAAACAATCTTTTTGTAGAATCTGCGATTGGAGATTTGGACTGCTTTGAGGCCTACTGTAGTAAAGGAAATAACTTCATCTAAAAACCAAACGGAAGCATTCACAGACAATTCTTAGTGATCATTGCATTGAACTAACAGAGCTGAACATTGCTTTAGATGGCGCAGTTTCCAAACCCACTTTCTGTAGAATCTGCAAGTGGATATTTGGACCTCTCTGAGGATTTCGTTGGAAACGGGATAAACTTCCCAGAACTACACGGAAGCATTCTGAGAAACTTCTTTGTGATGTTTGCATTCAACTCACAGAGTTGAACCTTGCTTTGATAGTTCAGCTTTCAAACACTCTTTTTGTAGAATCTGCAAGTGGATATTTGGACCACTTTGTGGCCTTCCTTCGAAACGGGTATATCTTCACATCAAACCTAGACAGAAGCATTCTCAGAATGTGTCCTGTGATGACTGCATTCAACTCACAGAGGTGAACAATCCTGTTGATGGAGCAGTTTTGAAACTCTCTTTCTTTGGATTCTGCAAGTGGATATGTGGACCTCTGTGAAGATTTCGTTGGAAACGGGTTCATCTTCACAGAAAAACTAAACAGAAGCATTCTCAGAAACTGCTTTGTGATGTTTGTGTTCCACTTCAAGAATTGAACTTTCCTCTTGACAGAGCAGCTCTGAAACCCTCTTTTTCTAGAATCTGCAAGTGGACATTTGGAGGGCTTTGAGGCCTGTGGTGGAAAAGGAAAATCTTCACATAAAAACTAGATGGAAGCATTCTCAGAAACTCCTTTGTGATGATTGCATTCGACTCACAGAGTTGAACATTCCTACAGATAGAGCAGGTTGTAAACAATCTTTTTGTAGAATCTGCGATTGGAGATTTGGACTGCTTTGAGGCCTACTGTAGTAAAGGAAATAACTTCATCTAAAAACCAAACGGAAGCATTCACAGACAATTCTTAGTGATCATTGGATTGAACTAACAGAGGTGAACATTCCTTTAGATGGAGCAGTTTCCAAACACACTTTCTGTAGAATCTGCAAGTGGATATTTGGACTTCTCTGAGGATTTCGTTGGAAACGGGATAAACTTCCCAGAACTACAGGGAAGCATTCTGAGAAACTTCTTTGTGATGTTTGCATTCAACTCACAGAGTTGGACCTTGATTTCATAGTTCAGCTTTCAAACACTCTTTTTGTAGAATCTGCAAGTGGATATTTGGACCACTTTTTGGCCTTCCTTCGAAACGGGTATATCTTCACATCAAACCTAGACAGAAGCATTCTCAGAATGTTTCCTGTGATGACTGCATTCAACTCACAGAGGTGAACAATCCTGCTGATGGAGCAGTTTTGAAACTCTCTTTCTTTGGATTCTGCAAGTGGATATGTGGACCTCTGTGAAGATTTCGTTGGAAACGGGTTCATCTTCACAGAAAAACTAAACAGAAGCATTCTCAGAAACTGCTTTGTGATGTTTGTGTTCCACTTCAGGAATTGAACTTTCCTCTTGACAGAGCAGCTCTGAAACCCTCTTATTCTAGAATCTGCAAGTGGACATTTGGAGGGCTTTGAGGCCTGTGGTGGAAAAGGAAAATCTTCCCATAAAAACTAGATGGAAGAATTCTCAGAAACTACTTTGTGATGATTGCATTCGACTCACAGAGTTGAACATTCCTATAGATAGAGCAGGTTGTAAACAATCTTTTTGTAGAATCTGCGATTGGAGATTTGGACTGCTTTGAGGCCTACTGTAGTAAATTAAATAACTTCATCTAAAAACCAAACGGAATCATTCACAGACAATTCTTAGTGATCATTGGATTGAACTAACAGAGCTGAACATTCCTTTAGATGGAGCAGTTTCCAAACACACTTTCTGCAGAATCTGTAAGTGGATATTTGGACTTCTCTGAGGATTTCGTTGGAAACGGGATAAACTTCCCAGAACTACACGGAAGCATTCTGAGAAACTTCTTTGTGATGTTTGCATTCAACTCACAGAGTTGAACCTTGCTTTCATAGTTCAGCTTTCAAACACTCTTTTTGTAGAATCTGCAAGTGGATATTTGGACCACTTTGTGGCCTTCCTTCGAAACGGGTATATCTTCACATCAAACCTAGACAGAAGCATTCTCAGAATGTTTCCTGTGATGACTGCATTCAACTCACAGAGGTGAACAATCCTGTTGATGGAGCAGTTTTGAAACTCTCTTTCTTTGGATTCTGCAAGTGGATATGTGGACCTCTGTGAAGATTTCGTTGGAAACGGGTTCATCTTCACAGAAAAACTAAACAGGAGCATTCTCAGAAACTGCTTTGTGATGTTTGTGTTCCACTTCAAGAATTGAACTTTCCTCTTGACAGAGCAGCTCTGAAACCCTCTTATTCTAGAATCTGCAAGTGGACATTTGGAGGGCTTTGAGGCCTGTGGTGGAAAAGGAAAATCTTCACATAAAAACTAGATGGAAGCATTCTCAGAAACTACTTTGTGATGATTGCATTCGACTCACAGAGTTGAACATTCCTATAGATAGAGCAGGTTGTAAACAATCTTTTTGTAGAATCTGCGATTGGAGATTTGGACTGCTTTGAGGCCTACTGTAGTAAAGGAAATAACTTCATCTAAAAACCAAACGGAAGCATTCACAGTACAATTCTTAGTGATCATTGGATTGAACTAACAGAGCTGAACATTCCTTTAGATGGAGCAGTTTCCAAACCCACTTTCTGTAGAATCTGCAAGTGGATATTTGGACTTCTCTGAGGATTTCGTTGGAAACGGGATAAACTTCCCAGAACTACAGGGAAGCATTGTGAGAAACTTCTTTGTGATGTTTGCATTCAACTCACAGAGTTGAACCTTGCTTTCATAGTTCAGCTTTCAAACACTCTTTTTGTAGAATCTGCAAGTGGATATTTGGACCACTTTGTGGCCTTCCTTCGAAACGGGTATATCTTCACATCAAACCTAGACAGAAGCATTCTCAGAATGTTTCCTGTGATGACTGCATTCAACTCACAGAGGTGAACAATCCTGCTGATGGAGCAGTTTTGAAACTCTCTTTCTTTGGATTCTGCAAGTGGATATGTGGACCTCTGTGAAGATTTCGTTGGAAACGGGTTCATCTTCACAGAAAAACTAAACAGAAGCATTCTCAGAAACTGCTTTGTGATGTTTGTGTTCCACTTCAGGAATCGAACTTTCCTCTTGACAGAGCAGCTCTGAAACCCTCTTTTTCTAGAATCTGCAAGTGGACATTTGGAGGGCTTTGAGGCCTGTGGTGGAAAAGGAAAATCTTCACATAAAAACTAGATGGAAGCATTCTCAGAAACTACTTTGTGATGATTGCATTCGACTCACAGAGTTGAACATTCCTATAGATAGAGCAGGTTGTAAACAATCTTTTTGTAGAATCTGCGATTGGAGATTTGGACTGCTTTGAGGCCTACTGTAGTAAAGGAAATAACTTCATCTAAAAACCAAACGGAAGCATTCACAGACAATTCTTAGTGATCATTGGATTGAACTAACAGAGCTGAACATTCCTTTAGATGGAGCAGTTTCCAAACACACTTTCTGCAGAATCTGCAAGTGGATATTTGGACTTCTCTGAGGATTTCGTTGGAAACGGGATAAACTTCCCAGAACTACACGGAAGCATTCTGAGAAACTTCTTTGTGATGTTTGCATTCAACTCACAGAGTTGAACCTTGCTTTCATAGTTCAGCTTTCAAACACTCTTTTTGTAGAATCTGCAAGTGGATATTTTGACCACTTTGAGGCCTTCCTTCGAAACGGGTATATCTTCACATCAAACCTAGACAGAAGCATTCTCAGAATGTTTCCTGTGATGACTGCATTCAACTCACAGAGGTGAACAATCCTGCTGATGGAGCAGTTTTGAAACTCTCTTTCTTTGGATTCTGCAAGTGGATATGTGGACCTCTGTGAAGATTTCGTTGGAAACGGGTTCATCTTCACAGAAAAACTAAACAGGAGCATTCTCAGAAACTACTTTGTGATGTTTGTGTTCCACTTCAAGAATTGAACTTTCCTCTTGACAGAGCAGCTCTGAAACCCTCTTTTTCTAGAATCTGCAAGTGGACATTTGGAGGGCTTTGAGGCCTGTGGTGGAAAAGGAAAATCTTCACATAAAAACTAGATGGAAGCATTCTCAGAAACTACTTTGTGATGATTGCATTCGACTCACAGAGTTGAACATTCCTATAGATAGAGCAGGTTGTAAACAATCTTTTTGTAGAATCTGCGATTGGAGATTTGGACTGCTTTGAGGCCTACTGTAGTAAAGGAAATAACTTCATCTAAAAACCAAACGGAAGCATTCACAGACAATTCTTAGTGATAATTGCATTGATCTAACAGAGCTGAACATTCCTTTAGATGGCGTAGTTTCCAAACACACTTTCTGTAGAATCTGCAAGTGGATATTTGGACTTCTCTGAGGATTTCGTTGGAAACGGGATAAACTTCCCAGAACTACACGGAAGCATTGTGAGAAACTTCTTTGTGATGTTTGCATTCAACTCACAGAGTTGAACCTTGCTTTCATAGTTCAGCTTTCAAACACTCTTTTTGTGGAATCTGCAAGTGGATATTTGGACCACTTTGTGGCCTTCCTTCGAAACGGGTATATCTTCACATCAAACCTAGACAGAAGCATTCTCAGAATGTTTCCTGTGATGACTGCTTTCAACTCACAGACGTGAACAATCCTGCTGATGGAGCAGTTTTGAAACTCTCTTTCTTTGGATTCTGCAAGTGGATATGTGGACCTCTGTGAAGATTTCGTTGGAAACGGGTTCATCTTCACAGAAATACTAAACAGAAGCATTCTCAGAAACTGCTTTGTGATGTTTGTGTTCCACTTCAGGAATTGAACTTTCCTCTTGAAAGAGCAGCTCTGAAACCCTCTTATTCTAGAATCTGCAAGTGGACATTTGGAGGGCTTTGAGGCCTGTGGTGGAAAAGGAAAATCTTCACATAAAAACTAGATGGAAGCATTCTCAGAAACTACTTTGTGATGATTGCATTCGACTCACAGAGTTGAACATTCCTATAGATAGAGCAGGTTGTAAACAATCTTTTTGTAGAATCTGCGATTGGAGATTTGGACTGCTTTGAGGCCTACTGTAGTAAAGGAAATAACTTCATCTAAAAACCAAACGGAAGCATTCACAGACAATTCTTAGTGATCATTGGATTGAACTAACAGAGCTGAACATTCCTTTAGATGGCGCAGTTTCCAAACACACTTTCTGTAGAATCTGCAAGTGGATATTTGGACCTCTCTGAGGATTTCGTTGGAAACGGGATAAACTTCCCAGAACTACAGGGAAGCATTGTGAGAAACTTCTTTGTGATGTTTTCATTCAACTCACAGAGTTGAACCTTGCTTTCATAGTTCAGCTTTCAAACACTCTTTTTGTAGAATCTGCAAGTGGATATTTGGACCACTTTGTGGCCTTCCTTCGAAACGGGTATATCTTCACATCAAACCTAGACAGAAGCATTCTCAGAATGTTTCCTGTGATGACTGCATTCAACTCACAGAGGTGAACAATCCTGTTGATGGAGTAGTTTTGAAACTCTCTTTCTTTGGATTCTGCAAGTGGATATGTGGACCTCTGTGAAGATTTCGTTGGAAACGGGTTCATCTTCACAGAAAAACTAAACAGAAGCATTCTCAGAAACTGCTTTGTGATGTTTGTGTTCCACTTAAAGAATTGAACTTTCCTCTTGACAGAGCAGCTCTGAAACCCTCTTTTTCTAGAATCTGCAAGTGGACATTTGGAGGGCTTTGAGGCCAGTGGTGGAAAAGGAAAATCTTCACATAAAAACTAGATGGAAGCATTCTCAGAAACTACTTTGTGATGATTGCATTCGACTCACAGAGTTGAACATTCCTATAGATAGAGCAGGTTGTAAACAATCTTTTTGTAGAATCTGCGATTGGAGATTTGGACTGCTTTGAGGCCTACTGTAGTAAAGGAAATAACTTCATCTAAAAACCAAACGGAAGCATTCACAGACAATTCTTAGTGATCATTGGATTGAACTAACAGAGCTGAACATTCCTTTAGATGGAGCAGTTTCCAAACCCACTTTCTGAAGAATCTGCAAGTGGATATTTGGACTTCTCTGAGGATTTCGTTGGAAACGGGATAAACTTCCCAGAACTACACGGAAGCATTGTGAGAAACTTCTTTCTGATGTTTGCATTCAACTCACAGAGTTGAACCTTGCTTTCATAGTTCAGCTTTCAAACACTCTTTTTGTAGAATCTGCAAGTGGATATTTGGACCACTTTGTGGCCTTCCCTCGAAACGGGTATATCTTCACATCAAACCTAGACAGAAGCATTCTCAGAATGTTTCCTGTGATGACTGCATTCAACTCACAGAGGTGAACAATCCTGCTGATGGAGCAGTTTTGAAACTCTCTTTCTTTGGATTCTGCAAGTGGATATGTGGACCTCTGTGAAGATTTCGTTGGAAACGGGTTCATCTTCACAGAAAAACTAAACAGGAGCATTCTCAGAAGCTGCTTTGTGATGTTTGTGTTCCACTTCAAGAATTGAACTTTCCTCTTGACAGAGCAGCTCTGAAACCCTCTTTTTCTAGAATCTGCAAGTGGACATTTGGAGGGCTTTGAGGCCTGTGGTGGAAAAGGAAAATCTTCACATAAAAACTAGATGGAAGCATTCTCAGAAACTACTTTGTGATGATTGCATTCGACTCACAGAGTTGAACATTCCTATAGATAGAGCAGGTTGTAAACAATCTTTTTGTAGAATCTGCGATTGGAGATTTGGACTGCTTTGAGGCCTACTGTAGTAAAGGAAATAACTTCATCTAAAAACCAAACGGAAGCATTCACAGACAATTCTTAGTGATCATTGCATTGAACTAACAGAGCTGAACATTCCTTTAGATGGAGCATTTTCCAAACACACTTTCTGTAGAATCTGCAAGTGGATATTTGGACTACTCTGAGGATTTCGTTGGAAACGGGATAAACTTCCCAGAACTACACGGAAGCATTGTGAGAAACTTCTTTGTGATGTTTGCATTCAACTCACAGAGTTGAACCTTGCTTTCATAGTTCAGCTTTCAAACACTCTTTTTGTAGAATCTGCAAGTGGATATTTGGACCACTTTGTGGCCTTCCTTCGAAACGGGTATATCTTCACATCAAACCTAGACAGAAGCATTCTCAGAATGTTTCCTGTGATGACTGCATTCAACTCACAGAGGTGAACAATCCTGCTGATGGAGCAGTTTTGGAACTCTCTTTCTTTGGATTCTGCAAGTGGATATGTGGACCTCTGTGAAGATTTCGTTGGAAACGGGTTCATCTTCACAGGAAAACTAAACAGGAGCATTCTCAGAAACTGCTTTGTGATGTTTGTGTTCCACTTCAAGAATTGAACTTTCCTCTTGACAGAGCAGCTCTGAAACCCTCTTTTTCTAGAATCTGCAAGTGGACATTTGGAGGGCTTTGAGGCCTGTGGTGGAAAAGGAAAATCTTCACATAAAAACTAGATGGAAGCATTCTCAGAAACTACTTTGTGATGATTGCATTCGACTCACAGAGTTGAACATTCCTATAGATAGAGCAGGTTGTAAACAATCTTTTTGTAGAATCTGCGATTGGAAATTTGGACTGCATTGGGGCCTACTGTAGAAAAGGAAATAACTTCATCTAAAAACCAAACGGAAGCATTCACAGACAATTCTTAGTGATCATTGCATTGAACTAACAGAGCGGAACATTCCTTTAGATGGCGCAGTTTCCAAACACACTTTCTGTAGAATCTGCAAGTGGATATTTGGACTTTCTCTGAGGATTTCGTTGGAAACGGGATAAACTTCCCAGAACTACACGGAGCATTCTGAGAAACTTCTTTGTGATGTTTGCATTCAACTCACAGGGTTGAACCTTGCTTTCATAGTTCAGCTTTCAAACACTCTTTTTGTAGAATCTGCAAGTGGATATTTGGACCACTTTGTGGCCTTCCTTCGAAACGGGTATATCTTCACATCAAACCTAGACAGAAGCATTCTCAGAATGTTTCCTGTGATGACTGCATTCAACTCACAGAGGTGAACAATCCTGCTGATGGAGCAGTTTTGAAACTCTCTTTCTTTGGATTCTGCAAGTGGATATGTGGACCTCTGTGAAGATTTCGTTGGAAACGGGTTCATCTTCACAGAAAAACTAAACAGGAGCATTCTCAGAAACTGCTTTGTGATGTTTGTGTTCCACTTCAAGAATTGAACTTTCCTCTTGACAGAGCAGCTCTGAAACCCTCTTATTCTAGAATCTGCAAGTGGACATTTGGAGGGCTTTGAGGCCTGTGGTGGAAAAGGAAAATCTTCACATAAAAACTAGATGGAAGCATTCTCAGAAACTCCTTTGTGATGATTGCATTCGACTCACAGAGTTGAACATTCCTATAGATAGAGCAGGTTGTAAACAATCTTTTTGTAGAATCTGCGATTGGAGATTTCGACTGCTTTGAGGCCTACTGTAGTAAAGGAAATAACTTCATCTAAAAACCAAACGGAAGCATTCACAGACAATTCTTAGTGATCATTGGATTGAACTAACAGAGTTGAACATTCCTTTAGATGGCGCAGTTTCCAAACACACTTTCTGTAGAATCTGCAAGTGGATATTTGGACCTCTCTGAGGATTTCGTTGGAAACGGGATAAACTTCCCAGAACTACACGGAAGCATTCTGAGAAACTTCTTTGTGATGTTTGCATTCAACTCACAGAGTTGAACCTTGCTTTCATAGTTCAGCTTTCAAACACTCTTTTTGTAGAATCTGCAAGTGGATATTTGGACCACTTTGTGGCCTTCCTTCGAAACGGGTATATCTTCACATCAAACCTAGACAGAAGCATTCTCAGAATGTTTCCTGTGATGACTGCATTCAACTCACAGAGGTGAACAATCCTGTTGATGGAGCAGTTTTGAAACTCTCTTTCTTTGGATTCTGCAAGTGGATATGTGGACCTCTGTGAAGATTTCGTTGGAAACGTGTTCATCTTCACAGAAAAACTAAACAGAAGCATTCTCAGAAACTGCTTTGTGATGTTTGTGTTCCACTTCAGGAATTGAACTTTCCTCTTGACTGAGCAGCTCTGAAACCCTCTTTTTCTAGAATCTGCAAGTGGACATTTGGAGGGCTTTGAGGCCTGTGGTGGAAAAGGAAAATCTTCACATAAAAACTAGATGGAAGCATTCTCAGAAACTACTTTGTGATGATTGCATTCCACTCACAGAGTTGAACATTCCTATAGATAGAGCAGGTTGTAAACAATCTTTTTGTAGAATCTGCGATTGGAGATTTGGACTGCTTTGAGGCCTACTGTAGTAAAGGAAATAACTTCATCTAAAAACCAAACGGAAGCATTCACAGACAATTCTTAGTGATCATTGCATTGAACTAACAGAGCTGAACATTCCTTTAGATGGCGCAGTTTCCAAACACACTTTCTGTAGAATCTGCAAGTGGATATTTGGACCTCTCTGAGGATTTCGTTGGAAACGGGATAAACTTCCCAGAACTACACGGATGCATTCTGAGAAACTTCTTTGTGATGTTTGCATTCAACTAACAGAGTTGAACCTTGCTTTCATAGTTCAGCTTTCAAACACTCTTTTTGTAGAATCTGCAAGTGGATATTTGGACCACTTTGTGGCCTTCCTTCGAAACGGGTATATCTTCACATCAAACCTAGACAGAAGCATTCTCAGAATGTTTCCTGTGATGACTGCATTCAACTCACAGAGGTGAACAATCCTGATGATGGAGCAGTTTTGAAACTCTCTTTCTTTGGATTCTGCAAGTGGATATGTGGACCTCTGTGAAGATTTCGTTGGAAACGGGTTCATCTTCACAGAAAAACTAAACAGGAGCATTCTCAGAAACTGCTTTGTGATGTTTGTGTTCCACTTCAGGAATTGAACTTTCCTCTTGAGAGAGCAGCTCTGAAACCCTCTTTTTCTAGAATCTGCAAGTGGACATTTGGAGGGCTTTGAGGCCTGTGGTGGAAAAGGAAACTCTTCACATAAAAACTAGATGGAAGCATTCTCAGAAACTACTTTGTGATGATTGCATTCGACTCACAGAGTTGAACATTCCTATAGATAGAGCAGGTTGTAAACAATCTTTTTGTAGAATCTGCGATTGGAGATTTGGACTGCTTTGATGCCTACTGTAGTAAAGGAAATAACTTCATCTAAAAACCAAACGGAAGCATTCACAGACAATTCTTAGTGATCATTGGATTGAACTAACAGAGCTGAACATTCCTTTAGATGGAGCAGTTTCCAAACACACTTTCTGTAGAATCTGCAAGTGGATATTTGGACTTCTCTGAGGATTTCGTTGGAAACGGGATAAACTTCCCAGAACTACACGGAAGCATTGTGAGAAACTTCTTTGTGATGTTTGCATTCAACTCACAGAGTTGAACCTTGCTTTCATAGTTCAGCTTTCAAACACTCTTTTTGTAGAATCTGCAAGTGGATATTTGGACCACTTTGTGGCCTTCCTTCGAAACGGGTATATCTTCACATCAAACCTAGACAGAAGCATTCTCAGAATGTTTCCTGTGATGACTGCATTCAACTCACAGAGGTGAACAATCCTGTTGATGGAGCAGTTTTGAAACTCTCTTTCTTTGGATTCTGTAAGTTGATATGTGGACCTCTGTGAAGATTTCGTTGGAAACGGGTTCATCTTCACAGAAAAACTAAACAGAAGCATTCTCAGAAACTGCTTTGTGATGTTTGTGTTCCACTTCAAGAATTGAACTTTCCTCTTGACAGAGCAGCTCTGAAACCCTCTTTTTCTAGAATCTGCAAGTGGACATTTGGAGGGCTTTGAGGCCTGTGGTGGAAAAGGAAAATCTTCACATAAAAACTAGATGGAAGCATTCTCAGAAACTACTTTGTGATGATTGCATTCGACTCACAGAGTTGAACATTCCTATAGATAGAGCAGGTTGTAAACAATCTTTTTGTAGAATCTGCGATTGGAGATTTGGACTGCTTTGAGGCCTACTGTAGTAAAGGAAATAACTTCATCTAAAAACCAAACGGAAGCATTCACAGACAATACTTAGTGATCATTGGATTGAACAAACAGAGCTGAACATTCCTTTAGATAGAGCAGTTTCCAAACACACTTTCTGTAGAATCTGCAAGTGGATATTTGGACTTCTCTGAGGATTTCGTTGGAAACGGGATAAAATTCCCAGAACTACACGGTAGCATTCTGAGAAACTTCTTTGTGAGGTTTGCATTCAACTCACAGAGTTGAACCTTGCTTTCATAGTTCAGCTTTCAAACACTCTTTTTGTAGAATCTGCAAGTGGATATTTGGACCACTTTGTGGCCTTCCTTCGAAACGGGTATATCTTCACATCAAACCTAGACAGAAGCATTCTCAGAATGTTTCCTGTGATGACTGCATTCAACTCACAGAGGTGAACAATCCTGCTGATGGAGCAGTTTTGAAACTCTCTTTCTTTGGATTCTGCAAGTGGATATGTGGACCTCTGTGAAGATTTCGTTGGAAACGGGTTCATCTTCACAGAAAAACTAAACAGGAGCATTCTCAGAAACTGCTTTGTTATGTTTGTGTTCCACTTCAGGAATTGAACTTTCCTCTTGACAGAGCAGCTCTGAAACCCTCTTATTCTAGAATCTGCAAGTGGACATTTGGAGGGCTTTGAGGCCTGTGGTGGAAAAGGAAAATCTTCACATAAAAACTAGATGGAAGCATTCTCAGAAACTACTTTGTGATGATTGCATTCGACTCACAGAGTTGAACATTCCTATAGATAGAGCACGTTGTAAACAATCTTTTTGTAGAATCTGCGATTGGAAATTTGGACTGCTTTGAGGCCTACTGTAGTAAAGGAAATAACTTCATCTAAAAACCAAACGGAAGCATTCACAGACAATTCTTAGTGATCATTGCATTGAACTAACAGAGCTGAACATTCCTTTAGATGGCGCAGTTTCCAAACACACTTTCTGTAGAATCTGCAAGTGGATATTTGGACCTCTCTGAGGATTTCGTTGGAAACGGGATAAACTTCCCAGAACTACACGGAAGCATTCTCAGAAACTTCTTTGTGATGATTGCATTCAACTCACAGAGTTGAACCTTGCTTTCATAGTTCAGCTTTCAAACACTGTATTTGTAGAATCTGCAAGTGGATATTTGGACCACTTTGTGGCATTCCTTCGAAACGGGTATATCTTCACTTCAAAACTAGACAGAGGCATTCTCAGAATGTTTCCTGTGATGACTGCATTCAACTCACAGAGGTGAAGAATCCTGTTGATGGAGCAGTTTTGAAACTCTCTTTCTTTGGATTCTGCAAGTGGATATGTGGACCTCTGTGAAGATTTCGTTGGAAACGGGTTCATCTTCACAGAAAAACTAAACAGAAGCATTCTCAGAAACTACTTTGTGATGTTTGTGTTCCACTTCAAGAATTGAACTTTCCTCTTGACAGAGCAGCTCTGAAACCCTCTTTTTCTAGAATCTGCAAGTGGACATTTGGAGGGCTTTGAGGCCTGTGGTGGAAAAGGAAAATCTTCACATAAAAACTAGATGGAAGCATTCTCAGAAACTACTTTGTGATGATTGCATTCGACTCACAGAGTTGAACATTCCTATAGATAGAGCAGGTTGTAAACAATCTTTTTGTAGAATCTGCGATTGGAGATTTGGACTGCTTTGAGGCCTACTGTAGTAAAGGAAATAACTTCATCTAAAAACCAAACGGAAGCATTCACAGACAATTCTTAGTGATCATTGCATTGAACTAACAGAGCTGAACATTCCTTTAGATGGAGCAGTTTCCAAACACACTTTCTGTAGAATCTGCAAGTGGATATTTGGACCTCTCTGAGGATTTCGTTGGAAACGGGATAAACTTCCCAGAACTACACGGAAGCATTGTGAGAAACTTCTTTGTGATGTTTGCATTCAACTCACAGAGTTGAACCTTGCTTTCATAGTTCAGCTTTCAAACACTCTTTTTGTAGAATCTGCAAGTGGATATTTGGACCACTTTGTGGCCTTCCTTCGAAACGGGTATATCTTCACATCAAACCTAGACAGAAGCATTCTCAGAATGTTTCCTGTGATGACTGCATTCAACTCACAGAGGTGAACAATCCTGCTGATGGAGCAGTTTTGAAACTCTCCTTCTTTGGATTCTGCAAGTGGATATGTGGACCTCTGTGAAGATTTCGTTGGAAACGGGTTCATCTTCACAGAAAAACTAAACAGAAGCATTCTCAGAAACTGCTTTGTGATGTTTGTGTTCCACTTCAGGAATTGAACTTTCCTCTTGACAGAGCAGCTCTGAAACCCTCTTTTTCTAGAATCTGCAAGTGGACATTTGGAGGGCTTTGAGGCCTGTGGTGGAAAAGGAAAATCTTCACATAAAAACTAGATGGAAGCATTCTCAGAAACTACTTTGTGATGATTGCATTCGACTCACAGAGTTGAACATTCCTATAGATAGAGCAGGTTGTAAACAATCTTTTTGTAGAATCTGCGATTGGAGATTTGGACTGCTTTGAGGCCTACTGTAGTAAAGGAAATAACTTCATCTAAAAACCAAACGGAAGCATTCACAGACAATTCTTAGTGATCATTGCATTGAACTAACAGAGCTGAACATTCCTTTAGATGGCGCAGTTTCCAAACACACTTTCTGTAGAATCTGCAAGTGGATATTTGGACTTCTCTGAGGATTTCGTTGGAAACGGGATAAACTTCCCAGAACTACACGGAAGCATGCTGAGAAACTTATTTGTGATGTTTGCATTCAACTCACAGAGTTGAACCTTGCTTTCATAGTTCAGCTTTCAAACACTCTTTTTGTAGAATCTGCAAGTGGATATTTGGACCACTTTGTGGCCTTCCTTCGAAACGGGTATATCTTCACTTCAAACCTAGACAGAAGCATTCTCAGAATGTTTCCTGTGATGACTGCATTCAACTCACAGAGGTGAACAATCCTGCTGATGGAGCAGTTTTGAAACTCTCTTTCTTTGGATTCTGCAAGTTGATATGTGGACCTCTGTGAAGATTTCGTTGGAAACGGGTTCATCTTCACAGAAAAACTAAACAGGAGCATTCTCAGAAACTGCTTTGTGATGTTTGTGTTCCACTTCAAGAATTGAACTTTCCTCTTGACAGAGCAGCTCTGAAACCCTCTTTTTCTAGAATCTGCAAGTGGACATTTGGAGGGCTTTGAGGCCTGTGGTGGAAAAGGAAAATCTTCACATAAAAACTAGATGGAAGCATTCTCAGAAACTACTTTGGGATGATTGCATTCGACTCACAGAGTTGAACATTCCTATAGATAGAGCAGGTTGTAAACAATCTTTTTGTAGAATCTGCGATTGGAGATTTGGACTGCTTTGAGGCCTACTGTAGTAAAGGAAATAACTTCATCTAAAAACCAAACGGAAGCATTCACAGACAATTCTTAGTGATCATTGCATTGAACTAACAGAGCTGAACATTCCTTTAGATGGAGCAGTTTCCAAACACACTTTCTGTAGAATCTGCAAGTGGATATTTGGACTTCTCTGAGGATTTCGTTGGATAAGGGATAAACTTCCCAGAACTACAGGGAAGCATTCTGAGAAACATCTTTGTGATGTTTGCATTCAACTCACAGAGTTGAACCTTGCTTTCATAGTTCAGCTTTCAAACACTCTTTTTGTAGAATCTGCAAGTGGATATTTGGACCACTTTGTGGCCTTCCTTCGAAACGGGTATATCTTCACATCAAACCTAGACAGAAGCATTCTCAGAATGTTTCCTGTGATGACTGCATTCAACTCACAGAGGTGAACAATCCTGCTGATGGAGCAGTTTTGAAACTCTCTTTCTTTGAATTCTGCAAGTGGATATGTGGACCTCTGTGAAGATTTCGTTGGAAACGGGTTCATCTTCACCGAAAAACTAAACAGGAGCATTCTCAGAAACTGCTTTGTGATGTTTGTGTTCCACTTCAGGAATTGAACTTTCCTCTTGACAGAGCAGCTCTGAAACCCTCTTATTCTAGAATCTGCAAGTGGACATTTGGAGGGCTTTGAGGCCTGTGGTGGAAAAGGAAAATCTTCACATAAAAACTAGATGGAAGCATTCTCAGAAACTACTTTGTGATGATTGCATTCGACCCACAGAGTTGAACATTCCTATAGATAGAGCAGGTTGTAAACAATCTTTTTGTAGAATCTGCGATTGGAGATTTGGACTGCTTTGAGGCCTACTGTAGTAAAGGAAATAACTTCATCTAAAAACCAAACGGAAGCATTCACAGACAATTCTTAGTGATCATTGGATTGAACTAACAGAGCTGAACATTCCTTTAGATGGAGCAGTTTCCAAACACACTTTCTGTAGAATCTGCAAGTGGATATTTGGACCTCTCTGAGGATTTCGTTGGAAACGGGATAAACTTCCCAGAACTACACGGAAGCATTCTGAGAAACTTCTTTGTGATGTTTGCATTCAACTCACAGAGTTGAACCTTGCTTTCATAGTTCAGCTTTCAAACACTCTTTTTGTAGAATCTGCAAGTGGATATTTGGACCACTTTGTGGCCTTCCTTCGAAACGGGTATATCTTCACATCAAACCTAGACAGAAGCATTCTCAGAATGTTTCCTGTGATGACTGCATTCAACTCACAGAGGTGAACAATCCTGCTGATGGAGCAGTTTTGAAACTCTCTTTCTTTGGATTCTGCAAGTGGATATGTGGACCTCTGTGAAGATTTCGTTGGAAACGGGTTCATCTTCACAGAAAAACTAAACAGGAGCATTCTCAGAAACTGCTATGTGATGTTTGTGTTCCACTTCAAGAATTGAACTTTCCTCTTGACAGAGCAGCTCTGAAACCCTCTTTTTCTAGAATCTGCAAGTGGACATTTGGAGGGCTTTGAGGCCTGTGGTGGAAAAGGAAAATCTTCACATAAAAACTAGATGGAAGCATTCTCAGAAACTACTTTGTGATGATTGCATTCGACTCACAGAGTTGAACATTCCTATAGATAGAGCAGGTTGTAAACAATCTTTTTGTAGAATCTGCGATTGGATATTTGGACTGCATTGAGGCCTACTGTAGTAACGGAAATAACTTCATCTAAAAACCAAACGGAAGCATTCACAGACAATTCTTAGTGATCATTGCATTGAACTAACAGAGCTGAACATTCCTTTATATGGCGCAGTTTCCAAACACACTTTCTGTAGAATCTGCAAGTGGATATTTGGACCTCTCTGAGGATATCTTTGGAAACGGGATAAACTTCCCAGAACTACACGGAAGCATTCTGAGTAAATTCTTTGGAAGTTTGCATTCAACTCACAGAGTTGAACCTTGCTTTCATAGTTCAGCTTTCAAACACTCTTTATGTAGAATCTGCAAGTGGATATTTGGACCACTTTGTGGCCTTCCTTCGAAACGGGTATATCTTCACATCAAACCTAGACAGAAGCATTCTCAGAATGTTTCCTGTGATGACTGCATTCAACTCACAGAGGTGAACAATCCTGCTGACGGAGCAGTTTTGAAACTCTCTTTCTTTGGATTCTGCAAGTGGATATGTGGACCTCTGTGAAGATTTCGTTGGAAACGGGTTCATCTTCACAGAAAAACTAAACAGGAGCATTCTCAGAAACTGCTTTGTGATGTTTGTGTTCCACTTCAAGAATTGAACTTTCCTCTTGACAGAGCAGCTCTGAAACCCTCTTTTTCTAGAATCTGCAAGTGGACATTTGGAGGGCTTTGAGGCCTGTGGTGGAAAAGGAAAATCTTCACATAAAAACTAGATGGAAGCATTCTCAGAAACTACTTTGTGATGATTGCATTCGACTCACAGAGTTGAACATTCCTATATATAGAGCAGGTTGTAAACAATCTTTTTGTAGAATCTGCGATTGGAGATTTGGACTGCTTTGAGGCCTACTGTAGTTAAGGAAATAACTTCATCTAAAAACCAAACGGAAGCATTCACAGACAATTCTTAGTGATCATTGCATTGAACTAACAGAGCTGAACATTCCTTTAGATGGAGCAGTTTCCAAACACACTTTCTGTAGAATCTGCAAGTGGATATTTGGACCTCTGTGAGGATTTCGTTGGAAACGGGATAAACTTCCCAGAACTACACGGAAGCATTCTGAGAAACTTCTTTGTGATGTTTGCATTCAACTCACAGTGTTGAAACTTGCTTTCATTGTTCAGCTTTCAAACACTCTTTTTGTAGAATCTGCAAGTGGATATTTGGACCACTTTGTGGCCTTCCTTCGAAACGGGTATATCTTCACATCAAACCTAGACAGAAGCATTCTCAGAATGTTTCCTGTGATAACTGCATTCAACTCACAGAGGTGAACAATCCTGTTGATGGAGCAGTTTTGAAACTCCCTTTCTTTGGATTCTGCAAGTGGATATGTGGACCTCTGTGAAGATTTCGTTGGAAACGGGTTCATCTTCACAGAAAAACTAAACAGGAGCATTCTCAGAAACTGCTTTGTGATGTTTGTGTTCCACTTCAAGAATTGAACTTTCCTCTTGACAGAGCAGCTCTGAAACCCTCTTTGTCTAGAATCCGCAAGTGGACATTTGGAGGGCTTTGAGGCCTGTGGTGGAAAAGGAAATATCTTCACATAAAACCTAGATAGAAGCATTCTCAGAAACTACTTTGGGATGATTGCATTAGACTCACAGACTTGAACCTTCCAATGGATAGAGCAGTTTGTAAACACTCTTTTTGTAGAATCTGTGATTGCTGATTTGGACTGCATTGAGGCCTACGGTACTAAAGGAAATAACTTCATCTAAAATCCAAACGGAAGCATTCACAGACAATTCTTAGTGATCATTGGATTGAACTAACAGAGCTGAACATTCCTTTAGATGGAGCAGTTTCCAAACACACTTTCTGTAGAATCTGCAAGTGGATATTTGGACCTCTCTGAGGATTTCGTTGGAAACGGGATAAACTTCCCAGAACTACACGGAAGCATTGTGAGAAACTTCTTTGTGATGTTTGCATTCAACTCACAGAGTTGAACCTTGCTTTCATAGTTCAGCTTTCAAACACTCTTTTTGTAGAATCTGCAAGTGGATATTTGGACCACTTTGTGGCCTTCCTTCGAAACGGGTATATCTTCACATCAAACCTAGACAGAAGCATTCTCAGAATGTTTCCTGTGATGACTGCATTCAACTCACAGAGGTGAACAATCCTGCTGATGGAGCAGTTTTGAAACTCTCTTTCTTTGGATTCTGCAAGTGGATATGTGGACCTCTGTGAAGATTTCGTTGGAAACGGGTTCATCTTCACAGAAAAACTAAACAGGAGCATTCTCAGAAACTGCTTTGTGATGTTTGTGTTCCACTTCAAGAATTGAACTTTCCTCTTGACAGAGCAGCTCTGAAACCCTCTTTTTCTAGAATCTGCAAGTGGACATTTGGAGGGCTTTGAGGCCTGTGGTGGAAAAGGAAAATCTTCACATAAAAACTACATGGAAGCATTCTCAGAAACTACTTTGTGATGATTGCATTCGACTCACAGAGTTGAACATTCCTATAGATAGAGCAGGTTGTAAACAATGTTTTTGTAGAATCTGCGATTGGAGATTTGGATTGCTTTGAGGCCTACTGTAGTAAAGGAAATAACTTCATCTAAAAACCAAACGGAAGCATTCACAGACAATTCTTAGTGATCATTGGATTGAACTAACAGAGCTGAACATTCCTTTAGATGGAGCAGTTGCCAAACCCACTTTCTGTAGAATCTGCAAGTGGATATTTGGACTTCTCTGAGGATTTCGTTGGAAACGGGATAAACTTCCCAGAACTACACGGAAGCATTGTGAGAAACTTCTTTGTGATGTTTGCATTCAACTCACAGAGTTGAACCTTGCTTTCATAGTTCAGCTTTCAAACACTCTTTTTGTAGAATCTGCAAGTGGATATTTGGAGGGCTTTGAGGCCTGTGGTGGAAAAGGAAAATCTTCACATAAAAACTAGATGGAAGCATTCTCAGAATGTTTCCTGTGATGACTGCATTCAACTCACAGAGGTGAACAATCCTGCTGATGGAGCAGTTTTGAAACTCTCTTTCTTTGGATTCTGCAAGTGGATATGTGGACCTCTGTGAAGATTTCGTTGGAAACGGTTTCATCTTCACAGAAAAACTAAACAGGAGCATTCTCAGAAACTGCTTTGTGATGTTTGTGTTCCACTTCAGGAATTGAACTTTCCTCTTGACAGAGCAGCTCTGAAACCCTCTTTTTCTAGAATCTGCAAGTGGACATTTGGAGGGCTTTGAGGCCTGTGGTGGAAAAGGAAAATCTTCACATAAAAACTAGATGGAAGCATTCTCAGAAACTACTTTGTGATGATTGCATTCGACTCACAGAGTTGAACATTCCTATAGATAGAGCAGGTTGTAAACAATCTTTTTGTAGAATCTGCGATTGGAGATTTGGACTGCTTTGAGGCCTACTGTAGTAAAGGAAATAAATTCATCTAAAAACCAAACGGAAGCATTCACAGACAATTCTTAGTGATCATTGGATTGAACTAACAGAGCTGAACATTCCTTTAGATGGCGTAGCTTCCAAACACACTTTCTGTAGAATCTGCAACTGGATATTTGGACCTCTCTGAGGATTTCGTTGGAAACGGGATAAACTTCCCAGAACTACACGGAAGCATTGTGAGAAAATTCTTTGTTATGTTTGCATTCAACTCACAGAGTTGAACCTTGCTTTCATAGTTCAGCTTTCAAACACTCTTTTTGTAGAAACTGCAAGTGGATATTTGGACCACTTTGTGGCCTTCCTTCGAAACGGGTATATCTTCACATCAAACCTAGACAGAAGCATTCTCAGAATGTTTCCTGTGATGACTGCATTCAACTCACAGAGGTGAACAATCCTGCTGATGGAGCAGTTTTGAAACTCTCTTTCTTTGGATTCTGCAAGTGGATATGTGGACCTCTGTGAAGATTTCGTTGGAAACGGGTTCATCTTCGCGGAAAAACTAAACAGGAGCATTCTCAGAAACTGCTTTGTGATGTTTGTGTTCCACTTAAAGAATTGAACTTTCCTCTTGACAGAGCAGCTCTGAAACCCTCTTTTTCTAGAATCTGCAAGTGGACATTTGGAGGGCTCTGAGGCCTGTGGTGGAAAAGGAAAATCTTCACATAAAAACTAGATGGAAGCATTCTCAGAAACTACTTTGTGATGATTGCATTCGACTCACAGAGTTGAACATTCCTATAGATAGAGCAGGTTGTAAACAATCTTTTTGTAGAATCTGCGATTGGAGATTTGGACTGCTTTGAGGCCTACTGTAGTAAAGGAAATAACTTCATCTAAAAACCAAACGGAAGCATTCACAGAGAATTCTTAGTGATCATTGCATTGAACTAACAGAGCTGAACATTCCTTTAGATGGAGCAGTTTCCAAACACACTTTCTGTAGAATCTGCAAGTGGATATTTGGACCTCTCTGAGGATTTCGTTGGAAACGGGCTAAACTTCCCAGAACTACACGGAAGCATTCTGAGAAACTTCTTTGTGATGTTTGCATTCAACTCACAGAGTTGAACCTTGCTTTCATAGTTCAGCTTTCAAACACTCTTTTTGTAGAATCTGCAAGTGGATATTTGGACCACTTTGTGGCCTTCCTTCGAAACGGGTATATCTTCACATCAAACCTAGACAGAAGCATTCTCAGAATGTTTCCTGTGATGACTGCATTCAACTCACAGAGGTGAACAATCCTGCTGATGGAGCACTTTTGAAACTCTCTTTCTTTGGATTCTGCAAGTTGATATGTGGACCTCTGTGAAGATTTCGTTGGAAACGGGTTCATCTTCACAGAAAAACTAAACAGAAACATTCTCAGAAACTACTTTGTGATGTTTGTGTTCCACTTCAAGAATTGAACTTTCATCTTGACAGAGCAGCTCTGAAACCCTCTTTTTCTAGAATCTGCAAGTGGACATTTGGAGGGCTTTGAGGCCTGTGGTGGAAAAGGAAAATCTTCACATAAAAACTAGATGGAAGCATTCTCAGAAACTACTTTGTGATGATTGCATTCGACTCACAGAGTTGAACATTCCTATAGATAGAGCAGGTTGTAAACAATCTTTTTGAAGAATCTGCGATTGGAGATTTGGACTGCTTTGAGGCCTACTGTAGTAAAGGAAATAACTTCATCTAAAAACCAAACGGAAGCATTCACAGACAATTCTTAGTGATCATTGGATTGAACTAACAGAGCTGAACATTCGTTTAGATGGAGCAGTTTCCAAACACACTTTCTGTAGAATCTGCAAGTGGATATTTGGACCTCTCTGAGGATTTCGTTGGAAACGGGATAAACTTCCCAGAACTACACGGAAGCATTCTGAGAAACTTCTTTGTGATGTTTGCATTCAACTCACAGAGTTGAACCTTGCTTTCATAGTTCAGCTTTCAAACACTCTTTTTGTAGAATCTGCAAGTGGATATTTGGACCACTTTCTGGCCTTCCTTCGAAACGGGTATATCTTCACATCAAACCTAGACAGAAGCATTCTCAGAATGTTTCCTGTGATGACTGCATTCAACTCACAGAGGTGAAAAATCCTGCTGATGGAGCAGTTTTGAAACTCTCTTTCTTTGGATTCTGCAAGTGGATATGTGGACCTCTGTGAAGATTTCGTTGGAAACGGGTTCATCTTCACAGAAAAACTAAACAGGAGCATTCTCAGAAACTGCTTTGTGATGTTTGTGTTCCACTTCAAGAATTGAACTTTCCTCTTGACAGAGCAGCTCTGAAACCCTCTTTTTCTAGAATCTGCAAGTGGACATTTGGAGGGCTTTGAGGCCTGTGGTGGAAAAGGAAAATCTTCACATAAAAACTAGATGGAAGCATTCGCAGAAACTACTTTGTGATGATTGCATTCGACTCACAGAGTTGAACATTCCTACAGATAGAGCAGGTTGTAAACAATCTTTTTGTAGAATCTGCGATTGGAGATTTGGACTGCTTTGAGGCCTACTGTAGTAAAGGAAATAACTTCATCTAAAAACCAAACGGAAGCATTCACAGACAATTCTTAGTGATCATTGGATTGAACTAACAGAGCTGAACATTCCTTTAGATGGCGCAGTTTCCAAACACACTTTCTGTAGAATCTGCAAGTGGATATTTGGACCTCTCTGAGGATTTCGTTGGAAATGGGATAAACTTCCCAGAACTACACGGAAGCATTCTGAGAAACTTCTTTGTGATGTTTGCATTCAACTCACAGAGTTGAACCTTGCTTTCATAGTTCAGCTTTCAAACACTCTTTTTGTAGAATCTGCAAGTGGATATTTGGACCACTTTGTGGCCTTCCTTCGAAACGGGTATATCTTCACATCAAACCTAGACAGAAGCATTCTCAGAATGTTTCCTGTGATGACTGCATTCAACTCACAGAGGTGAACAATCCTGTTGATGGAGCACTTTTGAAACTCTCTTTCTTTGGATTCTGCAAGTTGATATGAGGACCTCTGTGAAGATTTCGTTGGAAACGGGTTCATCTTCACAGAAAAACTAAACAGAAGCATTCTCAGAAACTACTTTGTGATGTTTGTGTTCCACTTCAAGAATTGAACTTTCCTCTTGACAGAGCAGCTCTGAAACCCTCTTTTTCTAGAATCTGCAAGTGGACATTTGGAGGGCTTTGAGGCCTGTGGTGGAAAAGGAAAATCTTCACATAAAAACTAGATGGAAGCGTTCTCAGAAACTACTTTGTGATGATTGCATTCGACTCACAGAGTTGAACATTCCTATAGATAGAGCAGGTTGTAAACAATCTTTTTGTAGAATCTGCGATTGGAGATTTGGACTGCTTTGAGGCCTACTGTAGTAAAGGAAATAACTTCATCTAAAAACCAAACGGAAGCATTCACAGACAATTCTTAGTGATCATTGGATTGAACTAACAGAGCTGAACATTCCTTTAGATGGAGCAGTTTCCATACACACTTTCTGTAGAATCTGCAAGTGGATATTTGGACTTCTCTGAGGATTTCGTTGGAAACGGGATAAACTTCCCAGAACTACACGGAAGCCTTCTGAGAAACTTCTTTGTGATGTTTGCATTCAACTCACAGATTTGAACCTTGCTTTCATAGTTCAGCTTTCAAACACTCTTTTTGTAGAATCTGCAAGAGGATATTTGGACCACTTTGTGGCCTTCCTTCGAAACGGGTATATCTTCACATCAAACCTAGACAGAAGCATTCTCAGAATGTTTCCTGTGATGACTGCATTCAACTCACAGAGGTGAACAATCCTGCTGATGGAGCAGTTTTGAAACTCTCTTTCTTTGGATTCTGCAAGTGGATATGTGGACCTCTGTGAAGATTTCGTTGGAAACGGGTTCATCTTCACAGAAAAACTAAACAGAAGCATTCTCAGAAACTGCTTTGTGATGTTTGTGTTCCACTTCAAGAATTGAACTTTCCTCTTGACAGAGCAGCTCTGAAACCCTCTTTTTCTAGAATCTGCAAGTGGACATTTGGAGGGCTTTGAGGCCTGTGGTGGAAAAGGAAAATCTTCACATAAAAACTAGATGGAAGCATTCTCAGAAACTACTTTGTGATGATTGCATTCGACTCACAGAGTTGAACATTCCTATAGATAGAGCAGGTTGTAAACAATCTTTTTGTAGAATCTGCGATTGGAGATTTGGACTGCTTTGAGGCCTAATGTAGTAAAGGAAATTACTTCATCTAAAAACCAAACGGAAGCATTCACAGACAATTCTTAGTGATCATTGGATTGAACTAACAGAGCTGAACATTCCTTTAGATGGAGCAGTTTCCAAACCCACTTTCTGTGGAATCTGCAAGTAGATATTTGGACTTCTCTGAGGATTTCGTTGGAAACGGGATAAACTTCCCAGAACTACACGGAAGCATTCTCAGAAACTTCTTTGTGATGTTGCATTCAACTCACAGAGTTGAACCTTGCTTTCATTGTTCAGCTTTCAAACACTCTTTTTGTAGAGTCTGCAAGTGGATATTTGGACCACTTTGTGGCCTTCCTTCGAAACGGGTATATCTTCACATCAAACCTAGACAGAAGCATTCTCAGAATGTCTCCTGTGATGACTGCATTCAACTCACAGAGGTGAACAATCCTGTTGATGGAGCAGTTTTGAAACTCTCTTTCTTTGGAATCTGCAAATGGATGTGTGGACCTGTTTGAAGATTTCGTTGGAAACGGGTTCATCTTCACATAAAAACTAAACAGGAGCATTCTCAGAAACTGCTTTGTGATGTTTGTGTTCCACATCAAGAATTGAACTTTCCTCTTGACAGAGCAGCTCTGATACCCTCTTTTTCTAGAATCTGCAAGTGGACATTTGGAGGGCTTTGAGGCCTGTGGTGCAAAAGGAAAATCTTCACATAAAAACTAGATGGAAGCATTCTCAGAAACTACTTTGTGATGATTGCATTCGACTCACAGAGTTGAACATTCCTATAGATAGAGCAGGTTGTAAACAATCTTTTTGTAGAATCTGCGATTGGAGATTTGGACTGCTTTGAGGCCTACTGTAGTAAAGGAAATAACTTCATCTAAAAACCAAACGGAAGCATTCACAGACAATTCTTAGTGATCATTGCATTGATCTAACAGAGCTGAACATTCCTTTAGATGGCGTAGTTTCCAAACACACTTTCTGTAGAATCTGCAAGTGGATATTTGGACCTCTCTGAGGATTTCGTTGGAAACGGGATAAACTTCCCAGAACTACACGGAAGCATTCTGAGAAACTTCTTTGTGATGTTTGCATTCAACTCACAGAGTTGAACCTTGCTTTCATAGTTCAGCTTTCAAACACTCTTTTTGTAGAATCTGCAAGTGGATATTTGGACCACTTTGTGGCCTTCCTTCGAAAAGGGTATATCTTCACATCAAACCTAGACAGAAGCATTCTCAGAATGTTTCCTGTGATGACTGCATTCAACTCACAGAGGTGAACAATCCTGCTGATGGAGCAGTTTTGAAACTCTCTTTCTTTGGATTCTGCAAGTGGATATGTGGACCTCTGTGAAGATTTCGTTGGAAACGGGTTCATCTTCACAGAAAAACTAAACAGAAACATTCTCAGAAACTGCTTTGTGATGTTTGTGTTCCACTTCAGGAATTGAACTTTCCTCTTGACAGAGCAGCTCTGAAATCCTCTTATTCAAGAATCTGCAAGTGGACATTTGGAGGGCTTTGAGGCCTGTGGTGGAAAAGGAAAATCTTCACATAAAAACTAGATGGAAGCATTCTCAGAAACTACTTTGTGATGATTGCATTCGACTCACAGGGTTGAACATTCCTATAGATAGAGCAGGTTGTAAACAATCTTTTTGTAGAATCTGCGATTGGAGATTTGGACTGCTTTGAGGCCTACTGTAGTAAAGGAAATAACTTCATCTAAAAACCAAACGGAAGCATTCACAGACAATTCTTAGTGATCATTGGATTGAACTAACAGAGCTGAACATTCCTTTAGATGGAGCAGTTTCCAAACACACTTTCTGTAGAATCTGCAACTGGATATTTGGACTTCTCTGAGGATTTCGTTGGAAACGGGATAAACTTCCCAGAACTACACGGAAGCATTGTGAGAAACTTCTTTGTGATGTTTGCATTCAACTCACAGAGTTGAACCTTGCTTTCATAGTTCAGCTTTCAAACACTCTTTTTGTGGAATCTGCAAGTGGATATTTGGACCACTTTGTGGCCTTCCTTCGAAACGGGTATATCTTCACATCAAACCTAGACAGAAGCATTCTCAGAATGTTTCCTGTGATGACTGCATTCAACTCACAGAGGTGAACAATCCTGTTGATGGAGCAGTTTTGAAACTCTCTTTCTTTGGATTCTGCAAGTGGATATGTGGACCTCTGTGAAGATTTCGTTGGAAACGGGTTCATCTTCACAGAAAAAATAAACAGAAGCATTCTCAGAAACTGCTTTGTGATGTTTGTGTTCCACTTCAAGAATTGAACTTTCCTCTTGACAGAGCAGCTCTGAAACCCTCTTATTCTAGAATCTGCAAGTGGACATTTGGAGGGCTTTGAGGCCTGTGGTGGAAAAGGAAAATCTTCACATAAAAACTAGATGGAAGCATTCTCAGAAACTTCTTTGTGATGATTGCATTCGACTCACAGAGTTGAACATTCCTATAGATAGAGCAGGTTGTAAACAATCTTTTTGTAGAATCTGCGATTGGAGATTTGGACTGCTTTGAGGCCTACTGTAGTAAAGGAAATTACTTCATCTAAAAACCAAACGGAAGCATTCACAGACAATTCTTAGTGATCATTGGATTGAACTAACAGAGCTGAACATTCCTTTAGATGGAGCAGTTTCCAAACCCACTTTCTGTAGAATCTGCAAGTGGATATTTGGACTTCTCTGAGGATTTCGTTGGAAACGGGATAAACTTCCCAGAACTACACGGAAGCATTCTGAGAAACTTCTTTGTGATGTTTGCATTCAACTCACAGAGTTGAACCTTGCTTTCATAGTTCAGCTTTCAAACACTCTTTTTGTAGAATCTGCAAGTGGATATTTGGACCACTTTGTGGCCTTCCTTCGAAACGGGTATATCTTCACATCAAACCTAGACAGAAGCATTCTCAGAATGTTTCCTGTGATGACTGCATTCAACTCACAGAGGTGAACAATCCTGTTGATGGAGCACTTTTGAAACTCTCTTTCTTTGGATTCTGCAAGTTGATATGTGGACCTCTGAGAACATTTCGTTGGAAACGGGTTCATCTTCACAGAAAAACTAAACAGAAGCATTCTCAGAAACTACTTTGTGATGTTTGTGTTCCACTTCAAGAATTGAACTTTCCTCTTGACAGAGCAGCTCTGAAACCCTCTTTTTCTAGAATCTGCAAGTGGACATTTGGAGGGCTTTGAGGCCTGTGGTGGAAAAGGAAAATCTTCACATAAAAACTAGATGGAAGCATTCTCAGAAACTACTTTGTGATGATTGCATTCGACTCACAGAGTTGAACATTCCTATACATAGAGCAGGTTGTAAACAATCTTTTTGTAGAATCTGCGATTGGAGATTTGGACTGCTTTGAGGCCTACTGTAGTAAAGGAAATAACTTCATCTAAAAACCAAACGGAAGCATTCACAGACAATTCTTAGTGATCATTGGATTGAACTAACAGAGCTGAACATTCCTTTAGATGGAGCAGTTTCCAAACCCACTTTCTGTAGAATCTGCAAGTGGATATTTGGACTTCTCTGAGGATTTCGTTATAAAGGGGATAAACTTCCCAGAACTACACGGAAGCATTGTGAGAAACTTCTTTGTGATGTTTGCATTCAACTCATAGAGTTGAACCTTGCTTTCATAGTTCAGCTTTCAAACACTCCTTTTGTAGAATCTGCAAGTGGATATTTGGACCACTTTGTGGCCTTCCTTCGAAACGGGTATATCTTCACATCAAACCTAGACAGAAGCATTCTCAGAATGTTTCCTGTGATGACTGCATTCAACTCACAGAGGTGAACAATCCTGCTGATGGAGCAGTTTTGAAACTCTCTTTCTTTGGATTCTGCAAGTGGATATGTGGACCTCTGTGAAGATTTCGTTGGAAACGGGTTCATCTTCACAGAAAAACTAAACAGAAGCATTCTCAGAAACTACTTTGTGATGTTTGTGTTCCACTTCAAGAATTGAACTTTCCTCTTGACAGAGCAGCTCTGAAACCCTCTTTTTCTAGAATCTGCAAGTGGACATTTGGAGGGCTTTGAGGCCTGTGGTGGAAAAGGAAAATCTTCACATAAAAACTAGATGGAAGCATTCTCAGAAACTACTTTGTGATGATTGCATTCGACTCACAGAGTTGAACATTCCTATACATAGAGCAGGTTGTAAACAATCTTTTTGTAGAATCTGCGATTGGAGATTTGGACTGCTTTGAGGCCTACTGTAGTAAAGGAAATAACTTCATCTAAAAACCAAACGGAAGCATTCACAGACAATTCTTAGTGATCATGGCATTGAACTAACAGAGCTGAACATTCCTTTAGATGGCGCAGTTTCCAAACACACTTTCTGTAGAATCTGCAAGTGGATATTTGGACCTCTCTGAGGATTTCGTTGGAAACGGGATAAACTTCCCAGAACTACACGGAAGCATTCTGAGAAACTTCTTTGTGATGTTTGCATTCAACTCACAGAGTTGAACCTTGCTTTCATAGTTCAGCTTTCAAATACTCTTTTTGTAGAATCTGCAAGTGGATATTTGGACCACTTTGTGGCCTTCCTTCGAAACGGGTATATCTTCACATCAAACCTAGACAGAAGCATTCTCAGAATGTTTCATGTGATGACTGCATTCAACTCACAGAGGTGAACAATCCTGTTGATGGAGCACTTTTGAATCTCTCTTTCTTTGGATTCTGCAAGTGGATATGTGGACCTCTGTGAAGATTTCGTTGGAAACGGGTTCATTTTCACAGAAAAACTAAACAGAAGCATTCTCAGAAACTGCTTTGTGATGTTTGTGTTCCACTTCAGGAATTGAACTTTCCTCTTGACAGAGCAGCTCTGAAACCCTCTTATTCTAGAATCTGCAAGTGGACATTTGGGAGGGCTTTGAGGCCTGTGGTGGAAAAGGAAAATCTTCACATAAAAACTAGATGGAAGCATTCTCAGAAACTACTTTGTGATGATTGCATTCGACTCACAGAGTTGAACATTCCTATAGATAGAGCAGGTTGTAAACAATCTTTTTGTAGAATCTGC
Source organism: Homo sapiens (assembly GCF_000001405.40). NCBI lineage: Eukaryota > Metazoa > Chordata > Mammalia > Primates > Hominidae > Homo > Homo sapiens. Next base: position 52,444,368 of record NC_000011.10, read on the forward strand.
GATTGGAGATTTGGACTGCTTTGAGGCCTACTGTAGTAAAGGAAATAACTTCATCTAAAAACCAAACGGAAAGCATTCACAGACAATTCTTAGTGATCATTGGATTGAACTAACAGAGCTGAACATTCCTTTAGATGGCGCAGTTTCCAAACCCACTTTCTGTAGAATCTGCAAGTGGATATTTGGACTTCTCTGAGGATTTCGTTGGAAACGGGATAAACTTCCCAGAACTACAGGGAAGCATTCTGAGAAACTTCTTTGTGATGTTTGCATTCAACTCACAGAGTTGAACCTTGCTTTCATAGTTCAGCTTTCAAACACTCTTTTTGTAGAATCTGCAAGTGGATATTTGGACCACTTTCTGGCCTTCCTTCGAAACGGGTATATCTTCACATCAAACCTAGACAGAAGCATTCTCAGAATGTTTCCTGTGATGACTGCATTCAACTCACAGAGGTGAACAATCCTGCTGATGGAGCAGTTTTGAAACTCTCTTTCTTTGGATTCTGCAAGTGGATATGTGGACCTCTGTGAAGATTTCGTTGGAAACGGGTTCATCTTCACAGAAAAACTAAACAGGAGCATTCCCAGAAACTGCTTTGTGATGTTTGTGTTCCACTTCAGGAATTGAACTTTCCTCTTGACAGAGCAGCTCTGAAACCCTCTTTTTCTAGAATCTGCAAGTGGACATTTGGAGGGCTTTTAGGCCTGTGGTGGAAAAGGAAAATCTTCACATAAAAACTAGATGGAAGCATTCTCAGAAACTTCTTTGTGATGATTGCATTCGACTCACAGAGTTGAACATTCCTATAGATAGAGCAGGTTGTAAACAATCTTTTTGTAGAATCTGCGATTGGAGATTTGGACTGCTTTGAGGCCTACTGTAGTAAAGGAAATTACTTCATCTAAAAACCAAACGGAAGCATTCACAGACAATTCTTAGTGATCATTGGATTGAACTAACAGAGCTGAACATTCCTTTAGATGGAGCAGTTTCCAAACCCACTTTCTGTAGAATCTGCAAGTGGATATTTGGACCTCTCTGAGGATTTCGTTGGAAACGGGATAAACTTCCCAGAACTACACGGAAGTATTCTGAGAAACTTCTTTGTGATGTTTGCATTCAACTCACAGAGTTGAACCTTGCTTTCATAGTTAAGCTTTCAAACACTCTTTTTGTAGAATCTGCAAGTGGATATTTGGACCACTTTGTGGCCTTCCTTCGAAAGGGGTATATCTTCACATCAAACCTAGACAGAAGCATTCCCAGAATGTTTCCTGTGATGACTGCATTCAACTCACAGAGGTGAACAATCCTGCTGATGGAGCAGTTTTGAAACTCTCCTTCTTTGGATTCTGCAAGTGGATATGTGGACCTCTGTGAAGATTTCGTTGGAAACGGGTTCATCTTCACAGAAAAACTAAACAGAAGCATTCTCAGAAACTGCTTTGTGATGTTTGTGTTCCACTTCAGGAATTGAACTTTCCTCTTGACAGAGCAGCTCTGAAACCCTCTTATTCTAGAATCTGCAAGTGGACATTTGGAGGGCTTTGAGGCCTGTGGTGGAAAAGGAAAATCTTCACATAAAAACTAGATGGAAGCATTCTCAGAAACTACTTTGTGATGATTGCATTCGACTCACAGAGTTGAACATTCCTATAGATAGAGCAGGTTGTAAACAATCTTTTTGTAGAATCTGCGATTGGAGATTTGGACTGCTTTGAGGCCTACTGTAGTAAAGGAAATAACTTCATCTAAAAACCAAACGGAAGCATTCACAGACAATTCTCAGTGATCATTGGATTGTACTAACAGAGCTGAACATTCCTTTAGATGGAGCAGTTTCCAAACACACTTTCTGTAGAATCTGCAAGTGGATATTTGGACCTCTCTGAGGATTTCGTTGGAAACGGGATAAACTTCCCAGAACTACACGGAAGCATTCTGAGAAAATTCTTTGTGATGTTTGCATTCAACTCACAGAGTTGAACCTTGCTTTCATAGTTCAGCTTTCAAACACTCTTTTTGTAGAATCTGCAATTGGATATTTGGACCACTTTGTGGCCTTCCTTCGAAACGGGTATATCTTCACATCAAACCTAGACAGAAGCATTCTCAGAATGTTTCCTGTGATGACTGCATTCAACTCACAGAGGTGAACAATCCTGTTGATGGAGCAGTTTTGAAACTCTCTTTCTTTGGATTCTGCAAGTTGATATGTGGACCTCTGTGAAGATTTCGTTGGAAACGGGTTCATCTTCACAGAAAAACTAAACAGAAGCATTCTCAGAAACTGCTTTGTGATGTTTGTGTTCCACTTCAGGAATTGAACTTTCCTCTTGACAGAGCAGCTCTGCAACCCTCTTATTCTAGAATCTGCAAGTGGACATTTGGAGGGCTTTGAGGCCTGTGGTGGAAAAGGAAAATCTTCACATAAAAACTAGATGGAAGCATTCTCAGAAACTACTTTGTGATGATTGCATTCGACTCACAGAGTTGAACATTCCTATAGATAGAGCAGGTTGTAAACAATCTTTTTGTAGAATCTGCGATTGGAGATTTGGACTGCTTTGAGGCCTACTGTAGTAAAGGAAATAACTTCATCTAAAAACCAAACGGAAGCATTCACAGACAATTCTTAGTGATCATTGGATTGAACTAACAGAGCTGAACATTCCTTTAGATGGAGCAGTTTCCAAACACACTTTCTGTAGAATCTGCAAGTGGATATTTGGACTTCTCTGAGGATATCGTTGGAAACGGGATAAACTTCCCAGAACTACACGGAAGCATTGTGAGAAACTTCTTTGTGATGTTTGCATTCAACTCACAGAGTTGAACCTTGCTTTCATAGTTCAGCTTTCAAACACTCTTTTTGTAGAATCTGCAAGTGGATATTTGGACCAATTTGTGGCCTTCCTTCGAAACGGGTATATCTTCACATCAACCCTAGACAGAAGCATTCTCAGAATGTTTCCTGTGATGACTGCATTCAACTCACAGAGGTGAACAATCCTGTTGATGGAGCAGTTTTGAAACTCTCTTTCTTTGGATTCTGCAAGTTGATATGTGGACCTATGTGAAGATTTCGTTGGAAACGGGTTCATCTTCACAGAAAAACTAAACAGAAGCATTCTCAGAAACTGCTTTGTGATGTTTGTGTTCCACTTCAAGAATTGAACTTTCCTCTTGACAGAGCAGCTCTGAAACCCTCTTTTTCTAGAATCTGCAAGTGGACATTTGGAGGGCTTTGAGGCCTGTGGTGGAAAAGGAAAATCTTCACATAAAAACTAGATGGAAGCATTCTCAGAAACTACTTTGTGATGATTGCATTCGACTCACAGAGTTGAACATTCCTATAGATAGAGCAGGTTGTAAACAATCTTTTTGTAGAATCTGCGATTGGAGATTTGGACTGCTTTGAGGCCTACTGTAGTAAAGGAAATAACTTCATCTAAAAACCAAACGGAAGCATTCACAGACAATTCTTAGTGATCATTGGATTGAACTAACAGAGCTGCACATTCCTTTAGATGGAGCAGTTTCCAAACACACTTTCTGTAGAATCTGCAAGTGGATATTTGGACCTCTCTGAGGATATCGTTGGAAACGGGAGAAACTTCCCAGAACTACACGGAAGCATGCTGAGAAACTTCTTTGTGATGTTGGCATTCAACTCACAGAGTTGAACCTTGCTTTCATAGTTCAGCTTTCAAACACTCTTTTTGTAGAATCTGCAAGTGGATATTTGGACCACTTTGTGGCCTTCCTTCGAAACGGGTATATCTTCACATCAAACCTAGACAGAAGCATTCTCAGAATGTTTCCTGTGATGACTGCATTCAACTCACAGAGGTGAACAATCCTGCTGATGGAGCAGTTTTGAAACTCTCTTTCTTTGGATTCTGCAAGTGGATATGTGGACCTCTGTGAAGATTTCGTTGGAAACGTGTTCATCTTCACAGAAAAACTAAACAGGAGCATTCTCAGAAACTGCTTTGTGATGTTTGTGTTCCACTTCAAGAATTGAACTTTCCTCTTGACAGAGCAGCTCTGAAACCCTCTTTTTCTAGAATCTGCAAGTGGACATTAGGAGGGCTTTGAGGCCTGTGGTGGAAAAGGAAAATCTTCCCATAAAAACTAGATGGAAGCATTCTCAGAAACTACTTTGTGATGATTGCATTCGACTCACAGAGTTGAACATTCCTATAGATAGAGCAGGTTGTAAACAATGTTTTTGTACAATCTGCGATTGGAGATTTGGACTGCTTTGAGGCCTACTGTAGTAAAGGAAATAACTTCATCTAAAAACCAAACGGAAGCATTCACAGACAATTCTTAGTGATCATTGGATTGAACTAACAGAGCTGAACATTCCTTTAGATGGAGCAGTTTCCAAACACACTTTCTGTAGAATCTGCAAGTGGATATTTGGACTTCTCTGAGGATTTCGTTGGAAACGGGATAAACTTCCCAGAACTACACGGAAGCATTGTGAGAAACTTCTCTGTGATGTTTGCATTCAACTCACAGAGTTGAACCTTGCTTTCATAGTTCAGCTTTCAAACACTCATTTTGTGGAATCTGCAAGTGGATATTTGGACCACTTTGTGGCCTTCCTTCGAAACGAGTATATCTTCACATCAAACCTAGACAGAAGCATTCTCAGAATGTTTCCTGTGATGACTGCATTCAACTCACAGAGGTGAACAGTCCTGTTGATGGAGCAGTTTTGAAACTCTCTTTCTTTGGATTCTGCAAGTGGATATGTGGACCTCTGTGAAGATTTCGTTGGAAACGGGTTCATCTTCACAGAAAAGCTAAACAGAAGCATTCTCAGAAACTGCTTTGTGATGTTTGTGTTCCACTTCAAGAATTGAACTTTCCTCTTGACAGAGCAGCTCTGAAACCCTCTTTTTCTAGAATCTGCAAGTGGACATTTGGAGGGCTTTGAGGCCTGTGGTGGAAAAGGAAAATCTTCCCATAAAAACTAGATGGAAGCATTCTCAGAAACTACTTTGTGATGATTGCATTCGACTCACAGAGTTGAACATTCCTATAGATAGAGCAGGTTGTAAACAATGTTTTTGTACAATCTGCGATTGGAGATTTGGACTGCTTTGAGGCCTACTGTAGTAAAGGAAATAACTTCATCTAAAAACCAAACGGAAGCATTCACAGACAATTCTTAGTGATCATTGGATTGAACTAACAGAGCTGAACATTCCTTTAGATGGAGCAGTTTCCAAACACACTTTCTGTAGAATCTGCAAGTGGATATTTGGACTTCTCTGAGGATTTCGTTGGAAACGGGATAAACTTCCCAGAACTACACGGAAGCATTCTGAGAAACTTCTTTGTGATGTTTGCATTCAACTCACAGAGTTGAACCTTGCTTTCATAGTTCAGCTTTCAAACACTCTTTTTGTAGAATCTGCAAGTGGATATTTGGACCACTTTCTGGCCTTCCTTCGAAACGGGTATATCTTCACATCAAACCTAGACAGAAGAATTCTCAGAATGTTTCCTGTGATGACTGCATTCAACTCACAGAGGTGAACAATCCTGTTGATGGAGCAGTTTTGAAACTCTCTTTCTTTGGATTCTGCAAGTGGATATGTGGACCTCTGTGAAGATTTGGTTGGAAACGGGTTCATCTTCCCAGAAAAACTAAAAAGAAGCATTCTCAGAAACTGCTTTGTGATGTTTGTGTTCCACTTCAGGAATTGAACTTTCCTCTTGACAGAGCAGCTCTAAAACCCTCTTATTCTAGAATCTGCAAGTGGACATTTGGAGGGCTTTGAGGCCTGTGGTGGAAAAGGAAAATCTTCACATAAAAACTAGATGGAAGCATTCTCAGAAACTACTTTGTGATGATTGCATTCGACTCACAGAGTTGAACATTCCTATAGATAGAGCAGGTTGTAAACAATGTTTTTGTAGAATCTGCGATTGGAGATTTGGATTGCTTTGAGGCCTACTGTAGTAAAGGAAATAACTTCATCTAAAAACCAAACGGAAGCATTCACAGACAATTCTTAGTGATCATTGGATTGAACTAACAGAGCTGAACATTCCTTTAGATGGAGCAGTTTCCAAACACACTTTCTGCAGAATCTGCAAGTGGATATTTGGACTTCTCTGAGGATTTCGTTGGAAACGGGATAAACTTCCCAGAACTACACGGAAGCATTCTGAGAAACTTCTTTGTGATGTTTGCATTCAACTCACAGGAGTTGAACCTTGCTTTCATAGTTCAGCTTTCAAACACTCTTTTTGTAGAATCTACAGAAAGTGGATATTTGGACCACTTTGTGGCCTTCCTTCGAAACGGGTATATCTTCACATCAAACCTAGACAGAAGCATTCTCAGAATGTTTCCTGTGATGACTGCATTCAACTCACAGAGGTGAACAATCCTGTTGATGGAGCAGTTTTGAAACTCTCTTTCTTTGGATTCTGCAAGTGGATATGTGGACCTCTGTGAAGATTTCGTTGGAAACGGGTTCATCTTCACAGAAAAACTAAACAGAAGCATTCTCAGAAACTGCTTTGTGATGTTTGTGTTCCACTTCAGGAATTGAACTTTTCTCTTGAAAGAGCAGCTCTGAAACCCTCTTTTTCTAGAATCTGCAAGTGGACATTTGGAGGGCTTTGAGGCCTGTGGTGGAAAAGGAAAATCTTCACATAAAAACTAGATGGAAGCATTCTCAGAAACTACTTTGTGATGATTGCATTCGACTCACAGAGTTGAACATTCCTATAGATAGAGCAGGTTGTAAACAATCTTTTTGTAGAATCTGCGATTGGAGATTTGGACTGCTTTGAGGCCTACTGTAGTAAAGGAAATAACTTCATCTAAAAACCAAACGGAAGCATTCACAGACAATTCTTAGTGATCATTGGATTGAACTAACAGAGCTGAACATTCCTTTAGATGGAGCAGTTGCCAAACCCACTTTCTGTAGAATCTGCAAGTGGATATTTGGACTTCTCTGAGGATTTCGTTGGAAACGGGATAAACTTCCCAGAACTACACGGAAGCATTCTGAGAAACTTCTTTGTGATGTTTGCATTCAACTCACAGAGTTGAACCTTGCTTTCATAGTTCAGCTTTCAAACACTCTTTTTGTAGAATCTGCAAGTGGATATTTGGACCACTTTCTGGCCTTCCTTCGAAACGGGTATATCTTCACATCAAACCTAGACAGAAGCATTCTCAGAATGTTTCCTGTGATGACTGCATTCAACTCACAGAGGTGAACAATCCTGCTGATGGAGCAGTTTTGAAACTCTCTTTCTTTGGATTCTGCAAGTGGATATGTGGACCTCTGTGAAGATTTCGTTGGAAACGCGTTCATCTTCACAGAAAAACTAAACAGAAGCATTCTCAGAAACTACTTTGTGATGTTTGTGTTCCACTTCAAGAATTGAACTTTCCTCTTGACAGAGCAGCTCTGAAACCCTCTTTTTCTAGAATCTGCAAGTGGACATTTGGAGGGCTTTGAGGCCTGTGGTGGAAAAGGAAAATCTTCACATAAAAACTAGATGGAAGCATTCTCAGAAACTACTTTGTGATGATTGCATTCGACTCACAGAGTTGAACATTCCTATAGATAGAGCAGGTTGTAAACAATCTTTTTGTAGAATCTGCGATTGGAGATTTGGACTGCTTTGAGGCCTACTGTAGTAAAGGAAATAACTTCATCTAAAAACCAAACGGAAGCATTCACAGACAATTCTTAGTGATCATTGCATTGATCTAACAGAGCTGAACATTCCTTTAGATGGCGTAGTTTCCAAACACACTTTCTGTAGAATCTGCAAGTGGATATTTGGACCTCTCTGAGGATTTCGTTGGAAACGGGATAAACTTCCCAGAACTACACGGAAGCATTCTGAGAAACTTCTTTGTGATGTTTGCATTCAACTCACAGAGTTGAACCTTGCTTTCATAGTTCAGCTTTCAAACACTCTTTTTGTAGAATCTGCAAGTGGATATTTGGACCACTTTGTGGCCTTCCTTCGAAACGGGTATATCTTCACATCAAACCTAGACAGAAGCATTCTCAGAATGTTTCCTGTGATGACTGCATTCAACTCACAGAGGTGAACAATCCTGCTGATGGAGCAGTTTTGAAACTCTCTTTCTTTGGATTCTGCAAGTGGATATGTGGACCTCTGTGAAGATTTCGTTGGAAACGGGTTCATCTTCACAGAAAAACTAAACAGGAGCATTCTCAGAAACTGCTTTGTGATGTTTGTGTTCCACTTCAAGAATTGAACTTTCCTCTTGACAGAGCAGCTCTGAAACCCTCTTTTTCTAGAATCTGCAAGTGGACATTTGGAGGGCTTTGAGGCCTGTGGTGGAAAAGGAAAATCTTCACATAAAAACTAGACGGAAGCATTCTCAGAAACTACTCTGTGATGATTGCATTCGACTCACAGAGTTGAACATTCCTATCGATAGAGCAGGTTGTAAACAATCTTTTTGTAGAATCTGCGATTGGAGATTTGGACTGCTTTGAGGCCTACTGTAGTAAAGGAAATAACTTCATCTAAAAACCAAACGGAGGCATTCACAGACAATTCTTTGTGATCATTGGATTGAACTAAGAGAGCTGAACATTCCTTTAGATGGCGCAGTTTCCAAACACACTTTCTGTACAGTCTGCAAGTGGATATTTGGACCTCTCTGAGGATTTCGTTGGAAACGGGATAAACATCCCAGAACTACATGGAAGCATTCTCAGAAACTTCTTTGGGATGTTTGCATTCAACTCACAGAGTTGAACCTTGCTTTCATAGTTCAGCTTTCAAACACTCTTTTTGTAGAATCTGCAAGTGGATATTTGGACCACTTTGTGGCCTTCCTTCGAAACGGGTATATCTTCACATCAAACCTAGACAGAAGCATTCTCAGAATGTTTCCTGTGATGACTGCATTCAACTCACAGAGGTGAACAATCCTGCTGATGGAGCAGTTTTGAAACTCTCTTTCTTTGGATTCTGCAAGTGGATATGTGGACCTCTGTGAAGATTTCGTTGGAAACGGGTTCATCTTCACAGAAAAATTAAACAGGAGCATTCTCAGAAACTGCTTTGTGATGTTTGTGTTCCACTTCAGGAATTGAACTTTCCTCTTGACAGAGCAGCTCTGAAACCCTCTTTTTGTAGAATCTGCAAGTGGACATTTGGAGGGCTTTGAGGCCTGTGGTGGAAAAGGAAAATCTTCACATAAAAACTAGATGGAAGCATTCTCAGAAACTACTTTGTGATGATTGCATTCGACTCACAGAGTTGAACATTCCTATAGATAGAGCAGGTTGTAAACAATCTTTTTGTAGAATCTGCGATTGGAGATTTGGACTGCTTTGAGGCCTACTGTAGTAAAGGAAATAACTTCATCTAAAAACCAAACGGAAGCATTCACAGACAATTCTTAGTGATCATTGGATTGAACTAACAGAGCTGAACATTCCTTTAGATGGAGCAGTTTCCAAACACACTTTCTGTAGAATCTGCAAGTGGATATTTGGACCTCTCTGAGGATTTCGTTGGAAACGGGATAAACTTCCCAGAACTACACGGAAGCATTCTGAGAAACTTCTTTGTGATGTTTGCATTCAACTCACAGTGTTGAAACTTGCTTTCATTGTTCAGCTTTCAAACACTCTTTTTGTAGAATCTGCAAGTGGATATTTGGACCACTTTGTGGCCTTCCTTCGAAACGGGTATATCTTCACATCAAACCTAGACAGAAGCATTCTCAGAATGTTTCCTGTGATGACTGCATTCAACTCACAGAGGTGAACAATGCTGCTGATGGAGCAGTTTTGAAACTCTCTTTCTTTGGATTCTGCAAGTGGATATGTTGACCTCTGTGAAGATTTCGTTGGAAACGGGTTCATCTTCACAGAAAAACTAAACAGGAGCATTCTCAGAAACTGCTTTGTGATGTTTGTGTTCCACTTCAGGAATTGAACTTTCCTCTTGACAGAACAGCTCTGAAACCCTCTTTTTCTAGAATCTGCAAGTGGACATTTGGAGGCTTTGAGGACTGTGGTGGAAAAGGAAACTCTTCACATAAAAACTAGATGGAAGCATTCTCAGAAACTACTTTGTGATGATTGCATTCGACTCACAGAGTTGAACATTCCTATAGATAGAGCAGGTTGTAAACAATCTTTTTGTAGAATCTGCGATTGGAGATTTGGACTGCTTTGAGGCCTACTGTAGTAAAGGAAATAACTTCATCTAAAAACCAAACGGAAGCATTCACAGACAATTCTTAGTGATCATTGGATTGAACTAACAGAGCTGAACATTCCTTTAGATGGAGCAGTTTCCAAACCCACTTTCTGTAGAATCAGCAAGTGGATATTTGGACTTCTCTGAGGATTTCGTTGGAAACGGGATATGCTTCCCAGAACTACAGGGAAGCATTGTGAGAATCTTCTTTGTGATGTTTGCATTCAACTCACAGAGTTGAACCTTGCTTTCACAGTTCAGCTTTCAAACACTCTTTTTTAGGATCTGCAAGTGGATATTTGGACCACTTTGTGGCCTTCCTTCGAAACGGGCATATCTTCACATCAAACCTAGACAGAAGCATTCTCAGGATGTTTCCTGTGATGACTGCATTCAACTCACAGAGGTGAACAATCCTGCTGATGGAGCAGTTTTGAAACTCTCTTTCTTTGGATTCTGCAAGTGGATATGTGGACCTCTGTGAAGATTTCGTTGGAAACGGGTTCATCTTCACAGAAAAACTAAACAGAAGCATTCTCAGAAACTGCTTTGTGATGTTTTTGTTCCACTTCAGGAATTGAACTTTCCTCTTGACAGAGCAGCTCTGAAGCCCTCTTATTCTAGAATCTGCAAGTGGACATTTGGAGGGCTTTGAGGCCTGTGGTTGAAAAGGATAATCTTCACATAAAAACTAGATGGAAGCATTCTCAGAAACTACTTTGGAATGATTGCATTCGACTCACAGAGTTGAACATTCCTATAGATAGAGCAGGTTGTAAACAATCTTTTTGTAGAATCTGCGATTGGAGATTTGGACTGCTTTGAGGCCTACTGTAGTAAAGGAAATAACTTCATCTAAAAACCAAACGGAAGCATTCACAGACAATTCTTAGTGATCATTGCATTGAACTAACAGAGCTGAACATTCCTTTAGATGGCGCAGTTTCCAAACACACTTTCTGTAGAATCTGCAAGTGGATATTTGGACCTCTCTGAGGATTTCGCTGGAAACGGGATAAACTTCCCAGAACTACACGGAAGCATTCTCAGAAACTTCTTTGTGATGTTGCATTCAACTCACAGAGTTGAACCTTGCTTTCATTGTTCAGCTTTCAAACACTCTTTTTGTAGAGTCTGCAAGTGGATATTTGGACCACTTTGTGGCCTTCCTTCGAAACGGGTATATCTTCACATCAAACCTAGACAGAAGCATTCTCAGAATGTTTCCTGTGATGACTGCATTCAACTCACAGAGGTGAACAATCCTGCTGATGGAGCAGTTTTGAAACTCTCTTTCTTTGGATTCTGCAAGTGGATATGTGGACCTCTGTGAAGATTTCGTTGGAAACGGGTTCATCTTCACAGAAAAACTAAACAGAAGCATTCTCAGAAACTGCTTTGTGATGTTTGTGTTCCACTTCAGGAATTGAACTTTCCTCTTGACAGAGCAGCTCTAAAACCCTCTTATTCTAGAATCTGCAAGTGGACATTTGGAGGGCTTTGAGGCCTGTGGTGGAAAAGGAAAATCTTCACATAAAAACTAGATGGAAGCATTCTCAGAAACTACTTTGTGATGATTGCATTCGACTCACAGAGTTGAACATTCCTATACATAGAGCAGGTTGTAAACAATCTTTTTGTAGAATCTGCGATTGGAGATTTGGACTGCTTTGAGGCCTACTGTAGTAAAGGAAATAACTTCATCTAAAAACCAAACGGAAGCATTCACAGACAATTCTTAGTGATCATTGCATTGAACTAACAGAGCTGAACATTCCTTTAGATGGCGCAGTTTCCAAACCCACTTTCTGTAGAATCTGCAAGTGGATATTTGGACCTCTCTGAGGATTTCGTTGGAAACGGGATAAACTTCCCAGAACTACACGGAAGCATTCTGAGAAACTTCTTTGGATGTTTGCATTCAACTCACAGAGTTGAACCTTGCTTTCATAGTTCAGCTTTCAAACACTCTTTTTGTAGAATCTGCAAGTGGATACTTGGACCACTTTGTGGCCTTCCTTCGAAACGGGTATATCTTCACATCAAACCTAGACAGAAGCATTCTCAGAATGTTTCCTGTGATGACTGCATTCAACTCACAGAGGTGAACAATCCTGCTGATGGAGCAGTTTTGAAACTCTCTTTCTTTGGATTCTGCAAGTGGATATGTGGACCTCTGTGAAGATTTCGTTGGAAACGGGTTCATCTTCACAGAAAAACTAAACAGGAGCATTCTCAGAAACTGCTTTGTGATGTTTGTGTTCCACTTCAAGAATTGAGCTTTCCTCTTGACAGAGCAGCTCTGAAACCCTCTTTTTCTAGAATCTGCAAGTGGACCTTTGGAGGGCTTTGAGGCCTGTGGTGGAAAAGGAAAATATTCACATAAAAACTAGATGGAAGCATTCTCAGAAACTACTTTGTGATGATTGCATTCGACTCACAGAGTTGAACATTCCTATAGATAGAGCAGGTTGTAAACAATCTTTTTGTAGAATCTGCGATTGGAGATTTGGACTGCTTTGAGGCCTACTGTAGTAAAGGAAATAACTTCATCTAAAAACCAAACGGAAGCATTCACAGACAATTCTTAGTGATCATTGGATTGAACTAACAGAGCTGAACATTCCTTTAGATGGAGCAGTTTCCAAACACACTTTCTGTAGAATCTGCAAGTGGATATTTGGACTTCTCTGAGGATTTCGTTGGAAACGGGATAAACTTCCCAGAACTACACGGAAGCATTGTGAGAAACTTCTCTGTGATGTTTGCATTCAACTCACAGAGTTGAACCTTGCTGTCATAGTTCAGCTTTCAAACACTCTTTTTGTGGAATCTGCAAGTGGATATTTGGACCACTTTGTGGCCTTCCTTCGAAACGGGTATATTTTCACATCAAACCTAGACAGAAGCATTCTCAGAATGTTTCCTGTGATGACTGCATTCAACTCACAGAGGTGAACAATCCTGTTGATGGAGCAGTTTTGAAACTCTCTTTCTTTGGATTCTGCAAGTGGATATGTGGACCTCTGTGAAGATTTCGTTGGAAACGGGTTCATCTTCACAGAAAAACTAAACAAAAGCATTCTCAGAAACTGCTTTGTGATGTTTGTGTTCCACTTCAGGAATTGAACTTTCCTCTTGACAGAGCAGCTCTAAAACCCTCTTATTCTAGAATCTGCAAGTGGACATTTGGAGGGCTTTGAGGCCTGTGGTGGAAAAGGAAAATCTTCACATAAAAACTAGATGGAAGCATTCTCAGAAACTACTTTGTGATGATTGCATTCGACTCACAGAGTTGAACATTCCTATAGATAGAGCAGGTTGTAAACAATCTTTTTGTAGAATCTGCGATTGGAGATTTGGACTGCTTTGAGGCCTACTGTAGTAAAGGAAATAACTTCATCTAAAAACCAAACGGAAGCATTCACAGACAATTCTTAGTGATCATTGGATTGAACTAACAGAGCTGAACATTCCTTTAGATGGCGTAGTTTCCAAACACACTTTCTGTAGAATCTGCAAGTGGATATTTGGACCTCTCTGAGGATTTCTTTGGAAACGGGATAAACTTCCCAGAACTACACGGAAGCATTGTGAGAAAATTCTTTGTGAAGTTTGCATTCAACTCACAGAGTTGAACCTTGGTTTCATAGTTCAGCTTTCAAACACTCTTTTTGTAGAATCTGCAAGTGGATATTTGGACCACTTTGTGGCCTTCCTTCGAAACGGGTATATCTTCACATCAAACCTAGACAGAAGCATTCTCAGAATGTTTCCTGTGATGACTGCATTCAACTCACAGAGGTGAACAATCCTGCTGATGGAGCAGTTTTGAAACTCTCTTTCTTTGGATTCTGCAAGTGGATATGTGGACCTCTGTGAAGATTTCGTTGGAAACGGGTTCATCTTTACAGAAAAACTAAACAGGAGCATTCTCAGAAACTGCTTTGTGATGTTTGTGTTCCACTTCAAGAATTGAACTTTCCTCTTGACAGAGCAGCTCTGAAACCCTCTTTTTCTAGAATCTGCAAGTGGACATTTGGAGGGCTTTGAGGCCTGTGGTGGAAAAGGAAAATCTTCACATAAAAACTAGATGGAAGCATTCTCAGAAACTACTTTGTGATGATTGTATTCGACTCACAGAGTTGAACATTCCTATAGATAGAGCAGGTTGAAAACAATCTTTTTGTGGAATCTGCGATTGGAGATTTGGACTGCTTTGAGGCCTACTGTAGTAAAGGAAATAACTTCATCTAAAAACCAAACGGAAGCATTCACAGACAATTCTTAGTGATCATTGGATTGAACTAACAGAGCTGAACATTCCTTTAGATGGCGCAGATTCCAAACACACTTTCTGTAGAATCTGCAAGTGGATATTTGGACCTCTCTGAGGATTTCGTTGGAAACGGGATAAACTTCCCAGAACTACACGGAAGCATTCTGAGAAACTTCTTTGTGATGTTTGCATTCAACTCACAGAGTTGAACCTTGCTTTCATAGTTCAGCTTTCAAACACTCTTTTTGTAGAATGTGCAAGTGGATATTTGGACCACTTTGTGGCCTTCCTTCGAAACGGGTATATCTTCACATCAAACCTAGACAGAAGCATTCTCAGAATGTTTCCTGTGATGACTGCATTCAACTCACAGAGGTGAACAATCCTGCTGATGGAGCAGTTTTGAAACTCTCTTTCTTTGGATTCTGCAAGTGGATATGTGGACCTCTGTGAAGATTTCGTTGGAAACGGGTTCATCTTCACAGAAAAACTAAACAGAAGCATTCTCAGAAACTGCTTTGTGATGTTTGTGTTCCACTTCAAGAATTGAACTTTCCTCTTGACAGAGCAGCTCTGAAACCCTCTTTTTCTAGAATCTGCAAGTGGACATTTGGAGGGCTTTGAGGCCTGTGGTGGAAAAGGAAAATCTTCACATAAAAACTAGATGGAAGCATTCTCAGAAACTACTTTGTGATGATTGCATTCGACTCACAGAGTTGAACATTCCTATAGATAGAGCAGGTTGTAAACAATGTTTTTGTAGAATCTGCGATTGGAGATTTGGACTGCTTTGAGGCCTACTGTAGTAAAGGAAATAACTTCATCTAAAAACCAAACGGAAGCATTCACAGACAATACTTAGTGATCATTGCATTGAACTAACAGTGCTGAACATTCCTTTAGATGGCGCAGTTTCCAAACACACTTTCTGTAGAATCTGCAAGTGGATATTTGGACCTCTCTGAGGATTTCGTTGAAACGGGATAAACTTCCCAAAACTACACGGAAGCATTCTGAGAAACTTCTTTGTGATGTTTGCATTCAACTCACAGAGTTGAACCTTGCTTTCATAGTTCAGCTTTCAAACACTCTTTTTGTAGAATCTGCAAGTGGATATTTGGACCACTTTGTGGCCTTCCTTTGAAACGGGTATATCTTCACATCAAACCTAGACAGAAGCATTCTCAGAATGTTTCCTGTGATGACTGCATTCAACTCACAGAGGTGAACAATCCTGCTGATGGAGCAGTTTTGAAACTCTCTTTCTTTGGATTCTGCAAGTGGATATGTGGACCTCTGTGAAGATTTCGTTGGAAACGGGTTCATCTTCACAGAAAAACTAAACAGAAGCATTATCAGAACCTGCTTTGTGATGTTTGTGTTCCACTTCAGGAATTGTACTTTCCTCTTGACAGAGCAGCTCTGAAACCCTCTTATTCTAGAATCTGCAAGTGGACATTTGGAGGGCTTTGAGGCCTGTGGTGGAAAAGGAAAATCTTCACATAAAAACTAGATGGAAGCATTCTCAGAAACTACTTTGTGATGATTGCATTCGACTCACAGAGTTGAACATTCCTATAGATAGAGCAGGTTGTAAACAATCTTTTTGTAGAATCTGCGATTGGAGATTTGGACTGCTTTGAGGCCTACTGTAGTAAAGGAAATAACTTCATCTAAAAACCAAACGGAAGCATTCACAGACAATTCTTAGTGATCATTGGATTGAACTAACAGAGCTGAACATTCCTTTAGATGGAGCAGTTTCCAAACACACTTTCTGTAGAATCTGCAAGTGGATATTTGGACTTCTCTGAGGATTTCGTTGGAAACGGGATAAACTTCCCAGAACTACAGGGAAGCATTCTGAGAAACTTCTTTGTGATGTTTGCATTCAACTCACAGAGTTGAACCTTGCTTTCATAGTTCAGCTTTCAAACACTCTTTTTGTAGAATCTGCAAGTGGATATTTGGACCACTTTGTGGCCTTCCTTCGAAACGGGTATATCTTCACATCAAACCTAGACAGAAGCATTCTCAGAATGTTTCCTGTGATGACTGCATTCAACTCACAGAGGTGAACAATCCTGTTGATGGAGCAGTTTTGAAACTCTCTTTCTTTGGATTCTGCAAGTTGATATGTGGACCTCTGTGAAGATTTCGTTGGAAACGGGTTCATCTTCACAGAAAAACTAAACAGAAGCATTCTCAGAAACTGCTTTGTGATGTTTGTGTTCCACTTCAAGAATTGAACTTTCCTCTTGACAGAGCAGCTCTGAAACCCTCTTTTTCTAGAATCTGCAAGTGGACATTTGGAGGGCTTTGAGGCCTGTGGTGGAAAAGGAAAATCTTCACATAAAAACTAGATGGAAGCATTCTCAGAAACTACTTTGTGATGATTGCATTCGACTCACAGAGTTGAACATTCCTATAGATAGAGCAGGTTGTAAACAATGTTTTTGTAGAATCTGCGATTGGAGATTTGGACTGCTTTGAGGCCTACTGTAGTAAAGGAAATAACTTCATCTAAAAACCAAACGGAAGCATTCACAGACAATTCTTAGTGATCATTGGATTGAATTAACAGAGCTGAACATTCCTTTAGATGGAGCAGTTTCCAAACCCACTTTCTGTAGAATCTGTAAGTGGATATTTGGAGTTCTCTGAGGATTTCGTTGGAAACGGGATAAACTTCCCAGAACTACACGGAAGTATTCTGAGAAACTTCTTAGTGATGTTTGCATTCAACTCACAGAGTTGAACCTTGCTTTCATAGTTCAGCTTTCAAAAACTCTTTTTGTAGAATCTGCAAGTGGATATTTGGACCACTTTGTGGCCTTCCTTCGAAACGGGTATATCTTCACATCAAACCTAGACAGAAGCATTCTCAGAATGTTTCCTGTGATGACTGCATTCAACTCACAGAGGTGAACAATCCTGCTGATGGAGCAGTTTTGAAACTCTGTTTCTTTGGATTCTGCAAGTGGATATGTGGACCTCTGTGAAGATTTCGTTAGAAACGGGTTCATCTTCACAGAAAAACTAAACAGGAGCATTCTCAGAAACTGCTTTGTGATGTTTGTGTTCCACTTCAGGAATTGAACTTTCCTCTTGACAGAGCAGCTCTGAAACCCTCTTTTTGTAGAATCTGCAAGTGGACATTTGGAGAGCTTTGAGGCCTGTGGTGGAAAAGGAAAATCTTCACTTAAGAACTACATGGAAGCATTCTCAGAAACTACTTTGTGATGATTGCATTCGACTCACAGAGTTGAACATTCCTATAGATAGAGCAGGTTGTAAACAATCTTTTTGTAGAATCTGCGATTGGAGATTTGGACTGCTTTGAGGTCTACTGTAGTAAAGGAAATAACTTCATCTAAAAACCAAACGGAAGCATTCACAGACAATTCTTAGTGATCATTGGATTGAACTAACAGAGCTGAACATTCCTTTAGATGGAGCAGTTTCCAAACACACTTTCTGTAGAATCTGCAAGTGGATATTTGGACCTCTCTGAGGATATCGTTGGAAACGGGATAAACTTCCCAGAACTACACGGAAGCATGCTGAGAAACTTCTTTGTGATGTTTGCATTCAACTCACAGAGTTGAACCTTGCTTTCATAGTTCAGCTTTCAAACACTCTTTTTGTAGAATCTGCAAGTGGATATTTAGACCACTTTGTGGCCTTCCTTCGAAACGGGTATATCTTCACATCAAACCTAGACAGAAGCATTCTCAGAATGTTTCCTGTGATGACTGCATTCAACTCACAGAGGTGAACAATCCTGCTGATGGAGCACTTTTGAAACTCTCTTTCTTTGGATTCTGCAAGTGGATATGTGGACCTCTGTGAAGATTTCGTTGGAAACGGGTTCATCTTCACAGAAAAACTAAACAGAAGCATTCTCAGAAACTGCTTTGTGATGTTTGTGTTCCACTTCAGGAATTGAACTTTCCTCTTGACAGAGCAGCTCTGAAACCCTCTTATTCTAGAATCTGCAAGTGGACATTTGGAGGGCTTTGAGGCCTGTGGTGGAAAAGGAAAATCTTCACATAATAACTAGATGGAAGCATTCTCAGAAACTACTTTGTGATGATGGCATTCGACTCACAGAGTTGAACATTCCTATAGATAGAGCAGGTTGTAAACAATCTTTTTGTAGAATCTGCGATTGGAGATTTGGACTGCTTTGAGGCCTACTGTAGTAAAGGAAATAACTTCATCTAAAAACCAAACGGAAGCATTCACAGACAATTCTTAGTGATCATTGCATTGAACTAACAGAGCTGAACATTCCTTTAGATGGAGCAGTTTCCAAACACACTTTCTGTAGAATCTGCAAGTGGATATTTGGACTTCTCTGAGGATTTCGTTGGAAACGGGATAAACTTCCCAGAACTACACGGAAGCATTGTGAGAAACTTCTTTGTGATGTTTGCATTCACCTCACAGAGTTGAACCTTGCTTTCATAGTTCAGCTTTCAAACACTCTTTTTGTGGAATCTGCAAGTGGATATTTGGACCACTTTGTGGCCTTCCTTCGAAACGGGTATATCTTCACATCAAACCTAGACAGAAGCATTCTCGGAATGTTTCCTGTGATGACTGCATTCAACTCACAGAGGTGAACAATCCTGCTGATGGAGCAGTTTTGAAACTCTCTTTCTTTGGATTCTGCAGGTGGATATGTGGACCTCTGTGAAGATTTCGTTGGAAACAGGTTCATCTTCACAGAAAAACTAAACAGGAGCATTCTCAGAAACTACTTTGTGATGTTTGTGTTCCACTTCAAGAATTGAACTTTCCTCTTGACAGAGCAGCTCTGAAACCCTCTTTTTCTAGAATCTGCAAGTGGACATTTGGAGGGCTTTGAGGCCTGTGGTGGAAAAGGAAAATCTTCACATAAAAACTAGATGGAAGCATTCTCAGAAACTACTTTGTGATGATTGCATTCGACTCACAGAGTTGAACATTCCTATAGATAGAGCAGGTTGTAAACAATCTTTTTGTAGAATCTGCGATTGGAGATTTGGACTGCTTTGAGGCCTACTGTAGTAAAGGAAATAACTTCATCTAAAAACCAAACGGAAGCATTCACAGACAATTCTTAGTGATCATTGCATTGAACTAACAGAGCTGAACATTCCTTTAGATGGCGCAGTTTCCAAACACACTTTCTGTAGAATCTGCAAGTGGATATTTGGACTTCTCTGAGGATTTCGTTGGAAACGGGATAAACTTCCCAGAACTACACGGAAGCATTCTGAGAAACTTCTTTGTGATGTTTGCATTCAACTCACAGAGTTGAACCTTGCTTTCATAGTTCAGCTTTCAAACACTCTTTTTGTAGAATCTGCAAGTGGATATTTGGACCACTTTGTGGCCTTCCTTCGAAACGGGTATATCTTCACATCAAACCTAGACAGAAGCATTCTCAGAATGTTTCCTGTGATGACTGCATTCAACTCACAGAGGTGAACAATCCTGTTGATGGAGCACTTTTGAAACTCTCTTTCTTTGGATTCCGCAAGTTGATATGTGGACCTCTGTGAAGATTTCGTTGGAAACGGGTTCATCTTCACAGAAAAACTAAACAGAAGCATTCTCAGAAACTGCTTTGTGA
Source organism: Homo sapiens (assembly GCF_000001405.40). Lineage (NCBI taxonomy): Eukaryota > Metazoa > Chordata > Mammalia > Primates > Hominidae > Homo > Homo sapiens. The sequence goes on from NC_000011.10 coordinate 52,464,522, forward strand.
TGTCTGTGTTCCACTTCAAGAATTGAACTTTCCTCTTGACAGAGCAGCTCTGAAACCCTCTTTTTCTAGAATCTGCAAGTGGACATTTGGAGGGCTTTGAGGCCTGTGGTGGAAAAGGAAAATCTTCACATAAAAACTAGATGGAAGCATACTCAGAAACTACTTTGTGATGATTGCATTCGACTCACAGAGTTGAACATTCCTATAGATAGAGCAGGTTGAAAACAATCTTTTTGTAGAATCTGCGATTGGAGATTTGGACTGCTTTGAGGCCTACTGTAATAAAGGAAATAACTTCATCTAAAAACCAAACGGAAGCATTCACAGACAATTCTTAGTGATCATTGGATTGAACTAACAGAGCTGAACATTCCTTTAGATGGAGCAGTTTCCAAACACACTTTCTGTAGAATCTGCAAGTGGATATTTGGACTTCTCTGAGGATTTCGTTGGAAACGGGATAAACTTCCCAGAACTACACGGAAGCATTGTGAGAAACTTCTTTGTGATGTTTGCATTCAACTCACAGAGTTGAACCTTGCTTTCATAGTTCAGCTTTCAAACACTCTTTTTGTAGAATCTGCAAGTGGATATTTGGACCACTTTGTGGCCTTCCTTTGAAAAGGGTATATCTTCACATCAAACCTAGACAGAAGCATTCTCAGAATGTTTCCTGTGATGACCTGCATTCAACTCACAGAGGTGAACAATCCTGCTGATGGAGCAGTTTTGAAACTCTCTTTCTTTGGATTCTGCAAGTGGATATGTGGACCTCTGTGAAGATTTCGTTGGAAACGGGTTCATCTTCACAGAAAAACTAAACAGAAGCATTCTCAGAAACTGCTTTGTGATGTTTGTGTTCCACTTCAGGAATTCAACTTTCCTCTTGAAAGAGCAGCTCTGAAACCCTCTTATTCTAGAATCTGCAAGTGGACATTTGGAGGGCTTTGAGGCCTGTGGTGGAAAAGGAAAATCTTCACATAAAAACTAGATGGAAGCATTCTCAGAAACTACTTTGTGATGATTGCATTCGACTCACAGAGTTGAACATTCCTATAGATAGAGCAGGTTGTAAACAATCTTTTGTAGAATCTGCGATTGGAGATTTGGACTGCTTTGAGGCCTACTGTAGTAAAGGAAATAACTTCATCTAAAAACCAAACGGAAGCATTCACAGACAATGCTTAGTGATCATTGGATTGAACTAACAGAGCTGAACATTCCTTTAGATGGAGCAGTTTCCAAACACACTTTCTGTAGAATCTGCAAGTGGATATTTGGACCTCTCTGAGGATTTCGTTGGAAACGGGATAAACTTCCCAGAACTACACGGAAGCATTCTGAGAAACTTCTTTGTGATGTTTGCATTCAACTCACAGAGTTGAACCTTGCTTTCATAGTTCAGCTTTCAAACACTCTTTTTGTAGAATCTGCAAGTGGATATTTGGACCACTTTGTGGCCTTCCTTCGAAACGGGTATATCTTCACATCAAACCTAGACAGAAGCATTCTCAGAATGTTTCCTGTGATGACTGCATTCAACTCACAGAGGTGAACAGTCCTGCTGATGGAGCAGTTTTGAAACTCTCTTTCTTTGGATTCTGCAAGTGGATATGTGGACCTCTGTGAAGATTTCGTTGGAAACGGGTTCATCTTCACAGAAAAAGTAAACAGGAGCATTCTCAGAAACTGCTTTGTGATGTTTGTTTTCCACTTCAGGAATTGAACTTTCCTCTTGACAGAGCAGCTCTGAAACCCTCTTATTCTAGAATCTGCAAGTGGACATTTGGAGGGCTTTGAGGCCTGTGGTGGAAAAGGAAAATCTTCACATAAAAACTAGATGGAAGCATTCTCAGAAACTACTTTGTGATGATTGCAATCGACTCACAGAGTTGAACATTCCTATAGATAGAGCAGGTTGTAAACAATCTTTTTGTAAAATCTGCGATTGGAGATTTGGACTGCTTTGAGGCCTACTGTAGTAAAGCAAATAACTTCATCTAAAAACCAAACGGAAGCATTCACAGACAATTCTTAGTGATCATTGGATTGAACTAACAGAGCTGAACATTCCTTTAGATGGCGCAGTTTCCAAACCCACTGTCTGTAGAATCTGCAAGTGGATATTTGGACTTCTCTGAGGATTTCGTTGGAAACGGGATAAACTTCCCAGAACTACACGGAAGCATTGTGAGAAACTTCTTTGTGATGTTTGCATTCAACTCACAGAGTTGAACCTTGCTTTCATAGTTCAGCTTTCAAACACTCTTTTTGTAGAATCTGCAAGTGGATATTTGGACCACTTTGTGGCCTTCCTTCGAAACGGGTATATCTTCACATCAAACCTAGACAGAAGCATTCTCAGAATGTTTCCTCTGATGACTGCATTCAACTCACAGAGGTGAACAATCCTGCTGATGGAGCAGTGTTGAAACTCTCTTTCTTTGGATTCTGCAAGTGGATATGTGGACCTCTGTGAAGATTTCGTTGGAAACGGGTTCATCTTCACAGAAAAACTAAACAGGAGCATTCTCAGAAACTGCTTTGTGATGTTTGTGTTCCACTTCAAGAATTGAACTTTCCTCTTGACAGAGCAGCTCTGAAACCCTCTTTTTCTAGAATCTGCAAGTGGACATTTGGAGGGCTTTGAGGCCTGTGGTGGAAAAGGAAAATCTTCACATAAAAACTAGATGGAAGCATTCTCAGAAACTACTTTGTGATGATTGCATTCGACTCACAGAGTTGAACATTCCTATAGATAGAGCAGGTTGAAAACAATCTTTTTGTAGAATCTGCGATTGGAGATTTGGACTGCTTTGAGGCCTACTGTAGTAAAGGAAATAACTTCATCTAAAAACCAAACGGAAGCATTCACAGACAATTCTTAGTGATCATTGGATTGAACTAACAGAGCTGAACATTCCTTTAGATGGAGCAGTTTCCAAACACACTTTCTGTAGAATCTGCAACTGGATATTTGGACTTCTCTGAGGATTTCGTTGGAAACGGGATAAACTTCCCAGAACTACACGGAAGCATTCTGAGAAACTTCTTTGTGATGTTTGCATTCAACTCACAGAGTTGAACCTTGCTTTCATAGTTCAGCTTTCAAACACTCTTTTTGTAGAATCTGCAAGTGGATATTTGGACCACTTTGTGGCCTTCCTTCGAAACGGGTATATCTTCACATCAAACCTAGACAGAAGCATTCTCAGAATGTTTCCTGTGATGACTGCATTCAACTCACAGAGGTGAAGAATCCTGCTGATGGAGCAGTTTTGAAACTCTCTTTCTTTGGATTCTGCAAGTGGATATGTGGACCTCTGTGAAGATTTCGTTGGAAACAGGTTCATCTTCACAGAAAAACTAAACAGAAGCATTCTCAGAAACTGCTTTGTGATGTTTGTGTTCCACTTCAGGAATTGAACTTTCCTCTTGAAAGAGCAGCTCTGAAACCCTCTTTTTCTAGAATCTGCAAGTGGACATTTGGAGGGCTTTGAGGCCTGTGGTGGAAAAGGAAAATCTTCACATAAAAACTAGATGGAAGCATTCTCAGAAACTACTTTGTGATGATTGCATTCGACTCACAGAGTTGAACATTCCTATAGATAGAGCAGGTTGTAAACAATGTTTTTGTAGAATCTGCGATTGGAGATTTGGATTGCTTTGAGGCCTACTGTAGTAAAGGAAATAACTTCATCTAAAAACCAAACGGAAGCATTCACAGACAATTCTTAGGGATCATTGGATTGAACTAACAGAGCTGAACATTCCTTTAGATGGAGCAGTTGCCAAACCCACTTTCTGTAGAATCTGCAAGTGGATATTTGGACTTCTCTGAGGATTTCGTTGGAAACGGGATAAACTTCCCAGAACTACACGGAAGCATTGTGAGAAACTTCTTTGTGATGTTTGCATTCAACTCACAGAGTTGAACCTTGCTTTCATAGTTCAGCTTTCAAACACTCTTTTTGTAGAATCTGCAAGTGGATATTTGGACCACTTTGTGGCCTTCCTTTGAAAAGGGTATATCTTCACATCAAACCTAGACAGAAGCATTCTCAGAATGTTTCCTGTGATGACTGCATTCAACTCACAGAGGTGAACAATCCTGCTGATGGAGCAGTTTTGAAACTCTCTTTCTTTGGATTCTGCAAGTGGATATGTGGACCTCTGTGAAGATTTCGTTGGAAACGGGTTCATCTTCACAGAAAAATTAACAGGAGCATTCTCAGAAACTGCTTTGTGATGTTTGTGTTCCACTTCAAGAATTGAACTTTCCTCTTGACAGAGCAGCTCTGAAACCCTCTTTTTCTAGAATCTGCAAGTGGACATTTGGAGGGCTTTGAGGCCTGTGGTGGAAAAGGAAAATCTTCACATAAAAACTAGATGGAAGCATTCTCAGAAACTACTTTGTGATGATTGCATTCGACTCACAGAGTTGAACATTCCTATAGGTAGAGCAGGTTGTAAACAATCTTTTTGTAGAATCTGCGATTGGAGATTTGGACTGCTTTGAGGCCTACTGTAGTAAAGGAAATAACTTCATCTAAAAACCAAACGGAAGCATTCACAGACAATTCTTAGTGATCATTGCATTGAACTAACAGAGCTGAACATTCCTTTAGATGGCGTAGTTTCCAAACACACTTTCTGTAGAATCTGCAAGTGGATATTTGGACCTCTCTGAGGATTTCATTGGAAACGGTATAAACTTCCCAGAACTACACGGAAAGCATTCTGAGAAACTTCTTTGTGATGTTTGCATTCAACTCACAGAGTTGAACCTTGCTTTCATAGTTCAGCTTTCAAACACTCCTTTTGTAGAATCTGCAAGTGGATATTTGGACCACTTTGTGGCCTTCCTTCGAAACGGGTATATCTTCACATCAAACCTAGACAGAAGCATTCTCAGAATGTTTCCTGTGATGACTGCATTCAACTCACAGAGGTGAACAATCCTGCTGATGGAGCAGTTTTGAAACTCTCTTTCTTTGGATTCTGCAAGTGGATATGTGGACCTCCGTGAAGATTTCGTTTTAAACGGGTTCATCTTCACAGAAAAACTAAACAGAAGCATTCTCAGAAACTGCTTTGTGATGTTTGTGTTCCACTTCAAGAATTGAACTTTCCTCTTGACAGAACAGCTCTGAAACCCTCTTTTTCTAGAATCTGCAAGTGGACATTTGGATGGCTTTGAGGCCTGTGGTGGAAAAGGAAAATCTTCACATAAAAACTAGATGGAAGCATTCTCAGAAGCTACTCTGTGATGATTGCATTCGACTCACAGAGTTGAACATTCCTATAGATAGAGCAGGTTGTAAACAATCTTTGTGTAGAATCTGCGATTGGAGATTTGGACTGCTTTGAGGCCTACTGTAGTAAAGGAAATAACTTCATCTAAAAACCAAACGGAAGCATTCACAGACAATTCTTAGTGATCATTGCATTGAACTAACAGAGCTGAACATTCCTTTAGATGGCGCAGTTTCCAAACACACTTTCTGTAGAATCTGCAAGTGGATATTTGGACTTCTCTGAGGATTTCGTTGGAAACGGGATAAACTTCCCAGAACTACACGGAAGCATTGTGAGAAACTTCTTTGTGATGTTTGCATTCAACTCACAGAGTTGAACCTTGCTTTCATAGTTCAGCTTTCAAACACTCTTTTTGTAGAATCTGCAAGTGGATATTTGGACCACTTTGTGGCCTTCCTTCGAAACGGGTATATCTTCACATCAAACCTAGACAGAAGCATTCTCAGAATGTTTCCTGTGATGACTGCATTCAACTCACAGAGGTGAACAATCCTGTTGATGGAGCAGTTTTGAAACTCTCTTTCTTTGGATTCTGCAAGTTGATATGTGGACCTCTGTGAAGATTTCGTTGGAAACGGGTTCATCTTCACAGAAAAACTAAACAGAAGCATTCTCAGAAACTGCTTTGTGATGTTTGTGTTCCACTTCAGGAATTGAACTTTCCTCTTGACAGAGCAGCTCTAAAACCCTCTTATTCTAGAATCTGCAAGTGGACATTTGGAGGGCTTTGAGGCCTGTGGTGGAAAAGGAAAATCTTCACATAAAAACTAGATGGAAGCATTCTCAGAAACTACTTTGTGATGATTGCATTCGACTCACAGAGTTGAACATTCCTATAGATAGAGCAGGTTGTAAACAATCTTTTTGTAGAATCTGCGATTGGAGATTTGGACTGCTTTGAGGCCTACTGTAGTAAAGGAAATAACTTCATCTAAAAACCAAACGGAAGCATTCACAGACAATTCTTAGTGATCATTGCATTGATCTAACAGAGCTGAACATTCCTTTAGATGGCGTAGTTTCCAAACACACTTTCTGTAGAATCTGCAAGTGGATATTTGGACCTCTCTGAGGATTTCGTTGGAAACGGGATAAACTTCCCAGAACTACACGGAAGCATTCTGAGAAACTTCTTTGTGATGTTTGCATTCAACTCACAGAGTTGAACCTTACTTTCATAGTTCAGCTTTCAAACACTCTTTTTGTAGAATCTGTAAGTGGATATTTGGACCACTTTGTGGCCTTCCTTTGAAACGGGTATATCTTCACATCAAACCTAGACAGAAGCATTCTCAGAATGTTTCCTGTGATGACTGCATTCAACTCACAGAGGTGTACAATCCTGCTGATGGAGCAGTTTTGAAACTCTCTTTCTTTGGATTCTGCAAGTGGATATGTGGACCTCTGTGAAGATTTCGTTGGAAACGGGTTCATCTTCACAGAAAAACTAAACAGGGGCATTCTCAGAAACTGCTTTGTGATGTTTGTGTTCCACTTCAAGAATTGAGCTTTCCTCTTGACAGAGCAGCTCTGAAACCCTCTTTTTCTAGAATCTGCAAGTGGACCTTTGGAGGGCTTTGAGGCCTGTGGTGGAAAAGGAAAATCTTCACATAAAAACTAGATGGAAGCATTCTCAGAAACTACTTTGTGATGATTGCATTCGACTCACAGAGTTGAACATTCCTATAGATAGAGCAGGTTGTAAACAATCTTTTTGTAGAATCTGCGATTGGAGATTTGGACTGCTTTGAGGCCTACTGTAGTAAAGGAAATAACTTCATCTAAAAACCAAACGGAAGCATTCACAGACAATTCTTAGTGATCATTGGATTGAACTAACAGAGCTGAACATTCCTTTAGATGGAGCAGTTTCCAAACCCACTTTCTGTAGAATCTGCAAGTGGATATTTGGACTTCTCTGAGGATTTCGTTGGAAACGGGATAAACTTCCCAGAACTACACGGAAGCATTGTGAGAAACTTCTTTGTGATGTTTGCATTCAACTCACAGAGTTGAACCTTGTTTTCATAGTTCAGCTTTCAAAAACTCTTTTTGTAGAATCTGCAAGTGGATATTTGGACCACTTTGTGGCCTTCCTTCGAAACGGGTATATCTTCACATCAAACCTAGACAGAAGCATTCTCAGAATGTTTCCTGTGATGACTGCATTCAACTCACAGAGGTGAACAATCCTGTTGATGGAGCAGTTTTGAAACTCTCTTTCCTTGGATTCTGCAGGTTGATATGTGGACCTCTGTGAAGATTTCGTTGGAAACGGGTTCATCTTCACAGAAAAACTAAACAGAAGCATTCTCAGAAACTGCTTTGTGATGTTTGTGTTCCACTTCAAGAATTGAACTTTCCTCTTGACAGAGCAGCTCTGAAACCCTCTTTTTCTACAATCTGCAAGTGGACATTTGGAGGGCTTTGAGGCCTGTGGTGGAAAAGGAAAATCTTCACATAAAAACTGGATGGAAGCATTCTCAGAAACTACTTTGTGATGATTGCATTCGACTCACAGAGTTGAACATTCCTATAGATAGAGCAGGTTGTAAACTATCTTTTTGTAGAATCTGCGATTGGAGATTTGGACTGCTTTGAGGCCTACTGTAGTAAAGGAAATAACTTCATCTAAAAACCAAACGGAAGCATTCACAGACAATTCTTAGTGATCATTGCATTGAACTAACAGAGCTGAACATTCCTTTAGATGGAGCAGTTTCCAAACACACTTTCTGTAGAATCTGCAAGTGGATATTTGGACTTCTCTGAGGATTTCGTTGGAAACGGGATAAACTTCCCAGAACTACACGGAAGCATTCTGAGAAACTTCTTTGTGATGTTTGCATTCAACTCACAGAGTTGAACCTTGCTTTCATAGTTCAGCTTTCAAACGCTCTTTTTGTAGAATCTGCAAGTGGATATTTGGACCACTTTGTGGCCTTCCTTCGAAACGGGTATATCTTCACATCAAACCTAGACAGAAGCATTCTCAGAATGTTTCCTGTGATGACTGCATTCAACTCACAGAGGTGAACAATCCTGCTGATGGAGCAGTTTTGAAACTCTCTTTCTTTGGATTCTGCAAGTGGATATGTGGACCTCTGTGAAGATTTCGTTGGAAACGGGTTCATCTTCACAGAAAAACTAAACAGAAGCATTCTCAGAAACTGCTTTGTGATGTTTGTGTTCCACTTCAAGAATTGAACTTTCCTCTTGACAGAGCAGCTCTGAAACCCTCTTTTTCTAGAATCTGCAAGTGGACATTTGGAGGGTTTGAGGCCTGTGGTGGAAAAGGAAAATCTTCACATAAAAACTAGATGGAAGCATTCTCAGAAACTCCTTTGTGATGATTGCATTCGACTCACAGAGTTGAACATTCCTATAGATAGAGCAGGTTGTAAACAATCTTTTTGTAGAATCTGCGATTGGAGATTTGGACTGCTTTGAGGCCTACTGTAGTAAAGGAAATAACTTCATCTAAAAACCAAACGGAAGCATTCACAGACAATTCTTAGTGATCATTGCATTGAACTAACAGAGCTGAACATTCCTTTAGATGGAGCAGTTTCCAAACCCACTTTCTGTAGAATCTGCAAGTGGATATTTAGACTTCTCTGAGGATTTCGTTGGAAAAGGGATAAACTTCCCAGAACTACAGGGAAGCATTCTGAGAAACTTCTTTGTGATGTTTGCATTCAACTCACAGAGTTGAACCTTGCTTTTATAGTTCAGCTTTCAAACACACTTTTTGTAGAATCTGCAAGTGGATATTTGGACCACTTTGTGGCCTTCCTTCGAAACGGGTATATCTTCACATCAAACCTAGACAGAAGCATTCTCAGAATGTTTCCTGTGATGACTGCATTCAACTCACAGAGGTGAACAATCCTGCTGATGGAGCAGTTTTGAAACTCTCTTTCTTTGGATTCTGCAAGTGGATATGTGGACCTCTGTGAAGATTTCGTTGGAAACGGGTTCATCTTCACAGAAAAACTAAACAGAAGCATTCTCAGAAACTGCTTTGTGATGTTTGTGTTCCACTTCAAGAATTGAACTTTCCTCTTGACAGAGCAGCTCTGAAACCCTCTTTTTCTAGAATCTGCAAGTGGACATTTGGAGGGCTTTGAGGCCTGTGGTGGAAAAGGAAAATCTTCACATAAAAACTAGATGGAAGCATTCTCAGAAACTACTTTGTGATGATTGCATTCGACTCACACAGTTGAACATTCCTATAGATAGAGCAGGTTGTAAACAATCTTTTTGTGGAATCTGCGATTGGAGATTTGGACTGCTTTGAGGCCTACTGTAGTAAAGGAAATAACTTCATCTAAAAACCAAACGGAAGCATTCACAGAAAATACTTAGTGATCATTGGATTGAACTAACAGAGCTGAACATTCCTTTAGATGGAGCAGTTTCCAAACCCACTTTCTGTAGAATCTGCAAGTGGATATTTGGACCTCTCTGAGGATTTCGTTGGAAAAGGGATAAACTTCCCAGAACTACACGGAAGCATTCTGAGAAACTTCTTTGTGATGTTTGCATTCAACTCACAGAGTTGAACCTTGCTTTCATAGTTCAGCTTTCAAACACTCTTTTTGTAGAATCTGCAAGTGGATATTTGGACCACTTTGTGGCCTTCCTTCGAAACGGGTATATCTTCACATCAAACCTAGACAGAAGCATTCTCAGAATGTTTCCTGTGATGACTGCATTCAACTCACAGAGGTGAACAATCCTGCTGATGGAGCAGTTTTGAAACTCTCTTTCTTTGGATTCTGCAAGTGGATATGTGGACCTCTGTGAAGATTTCGTTGGAAACGGGTTCATCTTCACAGAAAAACTAAACAGAAACATTCTCAGAAACTGCTTTGTGATGTTTGTGTTCCACTTCAAGAATTGAACTTTCCTCTTGACAGAGCAGCTCTGAAACCCTCTTTTTCTAGAATCTGCAAGTGGACATTTGGAGGGCTTTGAGGCCTGTGGTGGAAAAGGAAAATCTTCACATAAAAACTAGATGGAAGCATTCTCAGAAACTACTTTGTGATGATTGCATTCGACTCACAGAGTTGAACATTCCTATAGATAGAGCAGGTTGTAAACAATGTTTTTGTAGAATCTGCGATTGGAGATTTGGACTGCTTTGAGGCCTACTGTAGTAAAGGAAATAACTTCATCTAAAAACCAAACGGAAGCATTCACAGACAATTCTTAGTGATCATTGGATTGAACTAACAGAGCTGAACATTCCTTTAGATGGAGCAGATTCCAAACCCACTTTCTGTAGAATCTGCAAGTGGATATTTGGACTTCTCTGAGGATTTCGTTGGAAACGGGATAAACTTCCCCGAACTACACGGAAGCATTGTGAGAAACTTCTTTGTGATGTTTGCATTCAACTCACAGAGTTGAACCTTGCTTTCATAGTTCAGCTTTCAAACACTCTTTTTGTAGAATCCGCAAGTGGATATTTGGACCACTTTGTGTCCTTCCTTCGAAACGGGTATATCTTCACATCAAAGTTAGACAGAAGCATTCTCAGAATGTTTCCTGTGATGACTGCATTCAACTCACAGAGGTGAACAATCCTGCTGATGGAGCAGTTTTGAAACTCTCTTTCTTTGGATTCTGCAAGTGGATATGTGGACCTCTGTGAAGATTTCGTTGGAAACGGGTTCATCTTCACAGAAAAACTAAACAGGAGCATTCTCAGAAACTGCTTTGTGATGTTTGTGTTCCACTTCAAGAATTGAACTTTCCTCTTGACAGAGCAGCTCTGAAACCCTCTTTTTCTAGAATCTGCAAGTGGACATTTGGAGGGCTTTGAGGCCTGTGGTGGAAAAGGAAAATCTTCACATAAATACTAGATGGAAGCATTCTCAGAAACTACTTTGTGATGATTGCATTCGACTCACAGAGTTGAACATTCCTATAGATAGAGCAGGTTGTAAACAATCTTTTTGTAGAATCTGCGATTGGAGATTTGGACTGCTTTGAGGCCTACTGTAGTAAAGGAAATAACTTCATCTAAAAACCAAACGGAAGCATTCACAGACAATTCTTAGTGATCATTGGATTGAACTAACAGAGCTGAACATTCCTTTAGATGGAGCAGTTTCCAAACACACTTTCTGTAGAATCTGCAAGTGGATATTTGGACTTCTCTGAGGATTTCGTTGGAAACGGGATAAACTTCCCAGAACTACACGGAAGCATTGTGAGAAACTTCTTTGTGATGTTTGCATTCAACTCACAGAGTTGAACCTTTCTTTCATAGTTCAGCTTTCAAACACTCTTTTTGTAGAATCTGCAAGTGGATATTTGGACCACTTTGTGGCCTTCCTTCGAAACGGGTATATCTTCACATCAAACCGAGACAGAAGCATTCTCAGAATGTTTCCTGTGATGACTGCATTCAACTCACAGAGGTGAACAATCCTGCTGATGGAGCAGTTTTGAAACTCTCTTTCTTTGGATTCTGCAAGTGGATATGTGGACCTCTGTGAAGATTTCGTTGGAAACGGGTTCATCTTCACAGAAAAACTAAACAGGAACATTCTCAGAAACTGCTTTGTGATGTTTGTGTTCCACTTCAGGAATTGAACTTTCCTCTTGAAAGAGCAGCTCTGAAACCCTCTTTATCTAGAATCTGCAAGTGGACATTTGGAGGGCTTTGAGGCCTGTGGTGGAAAAGGAAAATCTTCACATAAAAACTAGATGGAAGCATTCTCAGAAACTACTTTGTGATGATTGCATTCGACTCACAGAGTTGAACATTCCTATAGATAGAGCAGGTTGTAAACAATCTTTTTGTAGAATCTGCGATTGGAGATTTGGACTGCTTTGAGGCCTACTGTAGTAAAGGAAATAACTTCATCTAAAAACCAAACGGAAGCATTCACAGACAATTCTTAGTGATCATTGGATTGAACTAACAGAGCTGAACATTCCTTTAGATAGAGCAGTTTCCAAACACACTTTCTGTAGAATCTGCAAGTGGATATTTGGACTTCTCTGAGGATTTCGTTGGAAACGGGATAAACTTCACAGAACTACACGGAAGCATTCTGAGAAACTTCTTTGTGATGTTTGCATTCAACTCACAGAGTTGAACCTTGCTTTCATAGTTCAGCTTTCAAACCCTCTTTTTGTAGAATCTGCAAGTGGATATTTGGACCACTTTGTGGCCTTCCTTCGAAACGGGTATATCTTCACATCAAACCTAGACAGAAGCATTCTCAGAATGTTTCCTGTGATAACTGCATTCAACTCACAGAGGTGAACAATCCTGCTGATGGAGCAGTTTTGAAACTCTCTTTCTTTGGATTCTGCAAGTGGATATGTGGACCTCTGTGAAGATTTCGTTGGAAACGGGTTCATCTTCACAGAAAAACTAAACAGAAGCATTCTCAGAAACTGCTTTGTGATGTTTGTGTTCCACTTCAAGAATTGAACTTTCCTCTTGACAGAGCAGCTCTGAAACCCTCTTATTCTAGAATCTGCAAGTGGACATTTGGAGGGCTTTGAGGCCTGTGGTGGAAAAGGAAAATCTTCACATAAAAACTAGATGGAAGCATTCTCAGAAACTACTTTGTGATGATTGCATTCGACTCACAGAGTTGAACATTCCTATAGATAGAGCAGGTTGTAAACAATCTTTTTGTAGAATCTGCGATTGGAGATTTGGACTGCTTTGAGGCCTACTGTAGTAAAGGAAATAACTTCATCTAAAAACCAAACGGAAGCATTCACAGACAATTCTTAGTGATCATTGGATTGAACTAACAGAGCTGAACATTCCTTTAGATGGAGCATTTTCCAAACGCACTTTCTGTAGAATCTGCAAGTGGATATTTGGACTTCTCTGAGGATTTCGTTGGAAACGGGATAAACTTCCCAGAACTACACGGAAGCATTCTGAGAAACTTCTTTGTGATGTTTGCATTCAACTCACAGAGTTGAACCTTGCTTTCATAGTTCAGCTTTCAAACACTCTTTTTGTAGAATCTGCAAGTGGATATTTGGACCACTTTGTGGCCTTCCTTCGAAACGGGTATATCTTCACATCAAACCTAGACAGAAGCATTCTCAGAATGTTTCCTGTGATGACTGCATTCAACTCACAGAGGTGAACAATCCTGCTGATGGAGCAGTTTTGAAACTCTCTTTCTTTGGATTCTGCAAGTGGATATGTGGACCTCTGTGTAGATTTCGTTGGAAACGGGTTCATCTTCACAGAAAAACTAAACAGAAGCATTCTCAGAAACTGCTTTGTGATGTTTGTGTTCCACTTCAGGAATTGAACTTTCCTCTTGACTGAGCAGCTCTGAAACCCTCTTTTTCTAGAATCTGCAAGTGGACATTTGGAGGGCTTTGAGGCCTGTGGTGGAAAAGGAAAATCTTCACATAAAAACTAGATGGAAGCATTCTCAGAAACTCCTTTGTGATGATTGCATTCGACTCACAGAGTTGAACATTCCTATAGATAGAGCAGGTTGTAAACAATCTTTTTGTAGAATCTGCGATTGGAGATTTGGACTGCTTTGAGGCCTACTGTAGTAAAGGAAATAACTTCATCTAAAAACCAAACGGAAGCATTCACAGACAATTCTTAGTGATCATTGCATTGAACTAACAGAGCTGAACATTCCTTTAGATGGCGCAGTTTCCAAACACACTTTCTGTAGAATCTGCAAGTGGATATTTGGACCTCTCTGAGGATTTCGTTGGAAACGGGATAAACTTCCCAGAACTACACGGAAGCATTGTGAGAAACTTCTTTGTGATGTTTGCATTCAACTCACAGAGTTGAACCTTGCTTTCATAGTTCAGCTTTCAAACACTCTTTTTGTAGAATCTACAAGTGGATATTTGGACCACTTTGTGGCCTTCCTTCGAAACGGGTATATCTTCACATCAAACCTAGACAGAAGCATTCTCAGAATGTTTCCTGTGATGACTGCATTCAACTCACAGAGGTGAAGAATCCTGTTGATGGAGCAGTTTTGAAACTCTCTTTCTTTGGATTCTGCAAGTGGATATGTGGACCTCTATGAAGATTTCGTTGGAAACGGGTTCATCTTCACAGAAAAACTAAACAGAAGCATTCTCAGAAACTGCTTTGTGATGTTTGTGTTCCACTTCAAGAATTGAACTTTCCTCTTGACAGAGCAGCTCTGAAACCCTCTTTTTCTAGAATCTGCAAGTGGACATTTGGAGGGCTTTGAGGCCTGTGGTGGAAAAGGAAAATCTTCCCATAAAAACTAGATGGAAGCATTCTCAGAAACTACTTTGTGATGATTGCATTCGACTCACAGAGTTGAACATTCCTATAGATAGAGCAGGTTGTAAACAATGTTTTTGTAGAATCTGCGATTGGAGATTTGGACTGCTTTGAGGCCTACTGTAGTAAAGGAAATAACTTCATCTAAAAACCAAACGGAAGCATTCACAGACAATTCTTAGTGATCATTGCATTGAACTAACAGAGCTGAACATTCCTTTAGATGGCGCAGTTTCCAAACACACTTTCTGTAGAATCTGCAAGTGGATATTTGGACCTCTCTGAGGATTTCGTTGGAAAAGGGATAAACTTCCCAGAACTACACGGAAGCATTCTGAGAAACTTCTTTGTGACGTTTGCATTCAACTCACAGAGTTGAACCTTGCTTTCATAGTTCAGCTTTCAAACACTCTTTTTGTAGAATCTGCAAGTGGATATTTGGACCACTTTGTGGCCTTCCTTCGAAACGGGTATATCTTCACATCAAACCTAGACAGAAGCATTCTCAGAATGTTTCCTGTGATGACTGCATTCAACTCACAGAGGTGAACAATCCTGCTGATGGAGCAGTTTTGAAACTCTCTTTCTTTGGATTCTGCAAGTGGATAGGTGGACCTCTGTGAAGATTTCATTGGAAACGGGTTCATCTTCACAGAAAAACTAAACAGAAGCATTCTCAGAAACTGCTTTGTGATGTTTGTGTTCCACTTCAGGAATTGAACTTTCCTCTTGACAGAGCAGCTCTGAAACCCTCTTATTCTGGAATCTGCAAGTGGACATTTGGAGGGCTTTGAGGCCTGTGGTGGAAAAGGAAAATCTTCACATAAAAACTAGATGGAAGCATTCTCAGAAACTACTTTGTGATGATTGCATTCGACTCACAGAGTTGAACATTCCTATAGATATAGTAGGTTGTAAACAATCTTTTTGTAGAATCTGCGATTGGAGATTTGGACTGCTTTGAGGCCTACTGTAGTGAAGGAAATAACTTCATCTAAAAACCAAACGGAAGCATTCACAGACAATTCTTAGTGATCATTGCATTGAACTAACAGAGCTGAACATTGCTTTAGATGGCGCAGTTTCCAAACACACTTTCTGTAGAATCTGCAAGTGGATATTTGGACCTCTCTGAGGATTTCGTTGGAAACGGGATAAACTTCCCAGAACTACACGGAAGCATTCTGAGAAACTTCTTTGTGATGTTTGCATTCAACTCACAGAGTTGAACCTTGCTTTCATAGTTCAGCTTTCAAACACTCTTTTTGTAGAATCTGCAAGTGGATATTTGGACCACTTTGTGGCCTTCCTTCGAAACGGGTATATCTTCACATCAAACCTAGACAGAAGCATTCTCAGAATGTTTCCTGTGATGACTGCATTCAACTCACAGAGGTGAACAATCCTGTTGATGGAGCAGTTTTGAAACTCTCTTTCTTTGGATTCTGCAAGTTGATATGTGGACCTCTGTGAAGATTTCGTTGGAAACGGGTTCATCTTCACAGAAAAACTAAACAGAAGCATTCTCAGAAACTGCTTTGTGATGTTTGTGTTCCACTTCAGGAATTGAACTTTCCTCTTGACAGAGCAGCTCTGAAACCCTCTTATTCTAGAATCTGCAAGTGGACATTTGGAGGGCTTTGAGGCCTGTGGTGGAAAAGGAAAATCTTCACATAAAAACTAGATGGAAGCATTCTCAGAAACTACTTTGTGATGATTGCATTCGACTCACAGTGTTGAACATTCCTATAGATAGAGCAGGTTGTAAACAATCTTTTTGTAGAATCTGCGATTGGAGATTTGGACTGCTTTGAGGCCTACTGTAGTAAAGGAAATAACTTCATCTAAAAACCAAACGGAAGCATTCACAGACAATTCTTAGTGATCATTGGATTGAACTAACAGAGCTGAACATTCCTTTAGATGGAGCAGTTTCCAAACCCACTTTCTGTAGAATCTGCAAGTGGATATTTGGACTTCTCTGAGGATTTCGTTGTAAAGGGGATAAACTTCCCAGAACTACACGGAAGCATTGTGAGAAACTTCTTTGGATGTTTGCATTCAACTCACAGAGTTGAACCTTGCTTTCATAGTTCAGCTTTCAAACACTCTTTTTGTAGAATCTGCAAGTGGATATTGGGACCACTTTGTGGCCTTCCTTCGAAACGGGTATATCTTCACATCAAACCTAGACAGAAGCATTCTCAGAATGTTTCCTGTGATGACTGCATTCAACTCACAGAGGTGAACAATCCTGCTGATGGAGCAGTGTTGAAACTCTCTTTCTTTGGATTCTCCAAGTGGATATTTGGACCTCTGTGAAGATTTCGTTGGAAACGGGTTCATCTTCACAGAAAAACTAAACAGGAGCATTCTCAGAAACTGCTTTGTGATGTTTGTGTTCCACTTCAAGAATTGAACTTTCCTCTTGACAGAGCAGCTCTGAAACCCTCTTTTTCTAGAATCTGCAAGTGGACATTTGGAGGGCTTTGAGGCCTGTGGTGGAAAAGGAAAATCTTCACATAAAAACTAGATGGAAGCATTCTCAGAAACTACTTTGTGATGATTGCATTCGACTCACAGAGTTGAACATTCCTATAGATAGAGCAGGTTGTAAACAATCTTTTTGTAGAATCTGCGATTGGAGATTTGGATTGCTTTGAGGCCTACTGTAGTAAAGGAAATAACTTCATCTAAAAACCAAACGGAAGCATTCACAGACAATTCTTAGTGATCATTGCATTGAACTAACAGAGCTGAACATTCCTTTAGATGGCGCAGTTTCCAAACACACTTTCTGTAGAATCTGCAAGTGGATATTTGGACCTCTCTGAGGATTTCGTTGGAAACGGGATAAACTTCCCAGAACTACACGGAAGCATTGTGAGAAACTTCTTTGTGATGTTTGCATTCAACTCACAGAGTTGAATCTTGCTTTCATAGTTCAGCTTTCAAACACTCTTTTTGTAGAATCTGCAAGTGGATATTTGGACCACTTTGTTGCCTTCCTTCGAAACGGGTATATCTTCACATCAAACCTAGACAGAAGCATTCTCAGAATGTTTCCTGAGATGACTGCATTCAACTCACAGAGGTGAACAATCCTGCTGATGGAGCAGTTTTGAAACTCTCTTTCTTTGGATTCTGCAAGTGGATATGTGGACCTCTGTGAAGATTTCGTTGGAAACGGGTTCATCTTCACAGAAAAACTAAACAGAAGCATTCTCAGAAGCTGCTTTGTGATGTTTTTGTTCCACTTCAGGAATTGAACTTTCCTCTTGACAGAGCAGCTCTGAAACCCTCTTATTCTAGAATCTGCAAGTGGACATTTGGAGGGCTTTGAGGCCTGTGGTGGAAAAGGAAAATCTTCACATAAAAACTAGATGGAAGCATTCTCAGAAACTACTTTGTGATGATTGCATTCGACTCACAGAGTTGCACATTCCTATAGATAGAGCAGGTTGTAAACAATCTTTTTGTAGAATCTGCGATTGGAGATTTGGACTGCTTTGAGGCCTACTGTAGTAAAGGAAATAACTTCATCTAAAAACCAAACGGAAGCATTCACAGACAATTCTTAGTGATCATTGGATTGAACTAACAGAGCTGAACATTCCATTAGATGGAGCAGTTTCCAAACACACTTTCTGTAGAATCTGCAAGTGGATATTTGGACCTCTCTGAGGATTTCGTTGGAAACGGGATAAACTTCCCAGAACTACACGGAAGCATTCTGAGAAACTTCTTTGTGATGTTTGCATTCAACACACAGAGTTGAACCTTGCTTTCATAGTTCAGCTTTCAAACACTCTTTTTGTAGAATCTGCAAGTGGATATTTGGACCACTTTGTGGCCTTCCTTCGAAACGGGTATATCTTCACATCAAACCTAGAGAGAAGCATTCTCAGAATGTTTCCTGTGATGACTGCATTCAACTCACAGAGGTGAACAATCCTGCTGATGGAGCAGTTTTGAAACTCTCTTTCTTTGGATTCTGCAAGTGGATATGTGGACCTCTGTGAAGATTTCGTTGGAAACGGGTTCATCTTCACAGAAAAACTAAACAGAAGCATTCTCAGAAACTGCTTTGTGATGTTTGTGTTCCACTTCAGGAATTGAACTTTCCTCTTGACAGAGCAGCTCTGAAACCCTCTTATGCTAGAATCTGCAAGTGGACATTTGGAGGGCTTTGAGGCCTGTGGTGGAAAAGGAAAATCTTCACATAAAAACTAGATGGAAGCATTCTCAGAAACTACTTTGGGATGATTGCATTCGACTCACAGAGTTGAACATTCCTATAGATAGAGCAGGTTGTAAACAATCTTTTTGTAGAATCTGCGATTGGAGATTTGGACTGCTTTGAGGCCTACTGTAGTAAATTAAATAACTTCATCTAAAAACCAAACGGAAGCATTCACAGACAATTCTTAGTGATCATTGCATTGAACTAACAGAGCTGAACATTCCTTTAGATGGCGCAGTTTCCAAACACACTTTCTGTAGAATCTGCAAGTGGATATTTGGACCTCTCTGAGGATTTCGTTGGAAACGGGATAAACTTCCCAGAACTACACGGAAGCATTCTGAGAAACTTCTTTGTGATGTTTGCATTCAACTCACAGAGTTGAACCTTGCTTTCATAGTTCAGCTTTCAAACACTCTTTTTGTAGAATCTGCAAGTGGATATTTGGATCACTTTGTGGCCTTCCTTCGAAACGGGTATATCTTCACATCAAACATAGACAGAAGAATTCTCAGAATGTTTCCTGTGATGACTGCATTCAACTCACAGAGGTGAACAATCCTCTTGATGGAGCAGTTTTGAAACTCTCTTTCTTTGGATTCTGCAAGTGGATATGTGGACCTCTGTGAAGATTTCGTTGGAAACGGGTTCATCTTCACAGAAAAACTAAACAGCAGCATTCTCAGAAACTGCTTTGTGATGTTTGTGTTCCACTTCAGGAATTGAACTTTCCTCTTGACAGAGCAGCTCTGAAACCCTCTTTTTCTAGAATCTGCAAGTGGACATTTGGAGGGCTTTGAGGCCTGTGGTGGTAAAGGAAAATCTTCACATAAAAACTAGATGGAAGCATTCTCAGAAACTACTTTGTGATGATTGCATTCGACTCACAGAGTTGAACATTCCTATAGATAGAGCAGGTTGTAAACAATCTTTTTGTAGAATCTGCGATTGGAGATTTGGACTGCTTTGAGGCCTACTGTAGTAAAGGAAATAACTTCATCTAAAAACCAAACGGAAGCATTCACAGACAATTCTTAGTGATCACTGGATTGAACTAACAGAGCTGAACATTCCTTTAGATGGAGCAGTTTCCAAACACACTTTCTGTAGAATCTGCAAGTGGATATTTGGACTTCTCTGAGGATTTCGTTGGAAACGGGATAAACTTCCCAGAACTACACGGAAGCATTCTGAGAAACTTCTTTGTGATGTTTGCATTCAACTCACAGAGTTGAACCTTGCTTTCATAGTTCAGCTTTCAAACACTCTTTTTGTAGAATCTGCAAGTGGATATTTGGACCACTTTGTGGCCTTCCTTCGAAACGGGTATATCTTCACATCAAACCTAGACAGAAGCATTCTCGGAATGTTTCCTGTGATGACTGCATTCAACTCACAGAGGTGAACAATTCTGCTGATGGAGCAGTTTTGAAACTCTCTTTCTTTGGATTCTGCAGCTGGATATGTGGACCTCTGTGAAGATTTCTTTGGAAACGGGTTCATCTTCACAGAAAAACTAAACAGGAGCATTCTCAGAAACTGCTTTGTGATGTTTGTGTTCCACTTCAAGAATTGAACTTTCCTCTTGACAGAGCAGCTCTGAAACCCTCTTTTTCTAGAATCTGCAAGTGGACATTTGGAGGGCTTTGAGGCCTGTGGTGGAAAAGGAAAATCTTCACATAAAAACTAGATGGAAGCATTCTCAGAAACTACTTTGTGATGATTGCATTCGACTCACAGAGTTGAACATTCCTATAGATAGAGCAGGTTGAAAACAATCTTTTTGTAGAATCTGCGATTGGAGATTTGGACTGCTTTGAGGCCTACTGTAGTAAAGGAAATAACTTCATCTAAAAACCAAACGGAAGCATTCACAGACAATTCTTAGTGATCATTGGATTGAACTAACAGAGCTGAACATTCCTTTAGATGGAGCAGTTTCCAAACCCACTTTCTGTAGAATCTGCAAGTGGATATTTGGACTTCTCTGAGGATTTCGTTGGAAACGGGATAAACTTCCCAGAACTACACGGAAGCATTGTGAGAAACTTCTTTGTGATGTTTGCATTCAACTCACAGAGTTGAACCTTGCTTTCATAGTTCAGCTTTCAAACACTCTTTTTGTAGAATCTGCAAGTGGATATTTGGACCACTTTGTGGCCTTCCTTCGAAACGGGTATATCTTCACATCAAACCTAGACAGAAGCATTCTCAGAATGTTTCCTGTGATGACTGCATTCAACGCACAGAGGTGAACAATCCTGTTGATGGAGCAGTTTTGAATCTCTCTTTCTCTGGAATGTGCAAGTGGATATGTGGACCTCTTTGAAGATTTCGTTGGAAAAGGGTTCATCTTCAAAGAAAAACTAAACAGAAGCATTCTCAGAAACTGCTTTGTGATGTTTGTGTTCCACTTCAAGAATTGAACTTTCCTCTTGACAGAGCAGCTCTGAAACCCTCTTTTTGTAGAATCTGCAAGTGAACATTTGGAGGGCTTTGAGGCCTGTGGTGGAAAAGGAAAATCTTCCCATAAAAACTAGATGGAAGCATTCTCAGAAACTACTTTGCGATGATTGCATTCGACTCACAGAGTTGAACATTCCTATAGATAGAGCAGGTTGTAAACAATCTTTTTGTAGAATCTGCGATTGGAGATTTTACTGCTTTGAGGCCTACTCTAGTAAAGGAAATAACTTCATCTAAAAACCAAACGGAAGCATTCACAGACAATTCTTAGTGATCATTGGATTGAACTAACAGAGCTGAACATTCCTTTAGATGGAGCAGTTTCCAAACACACTTTCTGTAGAATCTGCAAGTGGATATTTGGACCTCTCTGAGGATTTCGTTGGAAACGGGATAAACTTCCCAGAACTACACGGAAGCATTCTGAGAAACTTCTTTGTGATGTTTGCATTCAACTCACAGAGTTGAACCTTGCTTTCATAGTTCAGCTTTCAAACACTCTTTTTGTAGGATCTGCAAGTGGATATTTGACAACTTTGTGGCCTTCCTTCGAAACGGGTATATCTTCACATCAAACCTAGACAGAAGCATTCTCAGAATGTTTCCTGTGATGACTGCATTCAACTCACAGAGGTGAACAATCCTGCTGATGGAGCAGTTTTGAAACTCTCTTTCTTTGGATTCTGCAAGTGGATATGTGGACCTCTGTGAAGATTTCGTTGGAAACGGGTTCATCTTCACAGAAAAACTAAACAGAGGAAGCATTCTCGGAAACTGCTTTGTGATGTTTGTGTTCCACTTCAGGAATTGAACTTTCCTCTTGACAGAGCAGCTCTGAAACCCTCTTATTCTAGAATCTGCAAGTGGACATTTGGAGGGCTTTGAGGCCTGTGGTGGAAAAGGAAAATCTTCACATAAAAACTAGATGGAAGCATTCTCACAAACTACTTTGTGATGATTGCATTCGACTCACAGAGTTGAACATTCCTATAGATAGAGCAGGTTGTAAACAATCTTTTTGTAGAATCTGCGATTGGAGATTTCGACTGCTTTGAGGCCTACTGTAGTAAAGGAAATAACTTCATCTAAAAACCAAACGGGAAGCATTCACAGACAATTCTTAGTGATCATTGGATTGAACTAACAGAGCTGAACATTCCTTTAGATGGAGCAGTTTCCAAACACACTTTCTGTAGAATCTGCAAGTGGATATTTGGACCTCTCTGAGGATTTCGTTGGAAACGGGATAAACTTCCCAGAACTACACAGAAGCATTCTGAGAAACTTCTTTGTGATGTTTGCATTCAACTCACAGAGTTGAACCTTGATTTCATAGTTCAGCTTTCAAACCCTCTTTTTGTAGAATCTGCAAGTGGATATTTGGACCACTTTGTGGCCTTCCTTCGAAACGGGTATATACTTCACATCAAACCTAGACAGAAAGCATTCTCAGAATGTTTCCTGTGATGACTGCATTCAACTCACAGAGGTGAACAATCCTGTTGATGGAGCAGTTTTGAAACTCTCTTTCTTTGGATTCTGCAAGTGGATGTGTGGACCTCTGTGAAGATTTCGTTGGAAACGGGTTCATCTTCACAGAAAAACTAAACAGGAGCATTCTCAGAAACTGCTATGTGATGTTTGTGTTCCACTTCAAGAATTGAACTTTCCTCTTGACAGAGCAACTCTGAAACCCTCTTTTTCTAGAATCTGCAAGTGGACATTTGGAGGGCTTTGAGGCCTGTGGTGGAAAAGGAAAATCATCACATAAAAACTAGATGGAAGCATTCTCAGAAACTAGTTTGTGATGATTGCATTCGACTCACAGAGTTGAACATTCCTATAGATAGAGCAGGTTGTAAACAATCTTTTTGTAGAATCTGCGATTGGAGATTTGGACTGCTTTGAGGCCTACTGTAGTAAAGGAAATAACTTCATCTACAAACCAAACGGAAGCATTCACAGACAATTCTTAGTGATCAGTGGATGGAACTAACAGAGCTGAACATTCCTTTAGATGGCGCAGTTTCCAAACCCACTTTCTGTAGAATCTGCAAGTGGATATTTGGACTTCTCTGAGGATTTCGTTGGAAACGGGATAAACTTCCCAGAACTACACGGAAGCATTGTGAGAAACATCTTTGTGATGTTTGCATTCAACTCACAGAGTTGAACCTTGCTTTCATAGTTCAGCTTTCAAACACTCTTTTTGTAGAATCTGCAAGTGGATATTTGGACCACTTTGTGGCTTTCCTTTGAAACGGGTACATCTTCACATCAAACCTAGACAGAAGCATTCTCAGAATGTTTCCTGTGATGACTGCATTCAACTCACAGAGGTGAACAATCCTGCTGATGGAGCAGTTTTGAAACTCTCTTTCTTTGGATTCTGCAAGTGGATATGTGGACCTCTGTGAAGATTTCGTTGGAAACGGGTTCATCTTCACAGAAAAACTAAACAGGAGCATTCTCAGAAACTGCTTTGTGATGTTTGTGTTCCACATCAAGAATTGAACTTTCCTCTTGACAGAGCAGCTCTGAAACCCTCTTTTTCTAGAATCTGCAAGTGGACATTTGGAGGGCTTTGAGGCCTGTGGTGCAAAAGGAAAATCTTCACATAAAAACTAGATGGAAGCATTCTCAGAAACTACTTTGAGATGATTGCATTCGACTCACAGAGTTGAACATTCCTATAGATAGAGCAGGTTGTAAACAATCTTTTTGTAGAATCTGCGATTGGAGATTTGGACTGCTTTGAGGCCTACTGTAGTAAAGGAAATAACTTCATCTAAAAACCAAACGGAAGCATTCACAGACAATTCTTAGTGATCATTGCATTGAACTAACAGAGCTGAACATTCCTTTAGATGGCGCAGTTTCCAAACACACTTTCTGTAGAATCTGCAAGTGGATATTTGGACTTCTCTGAGGATTTCGTTGGAAACGGGATAAACTTCCCAGAACTACACGGAAGCATGCTGAGAAACTTCTTTGTGATGTTTGCATTCAACTCACAGAGTTGAACCTTGCTTTCTTAGTTCAGCTTTCAAACACTCTTTTTGTAGAATCTGCAAGTGGATATTTGGACCACTTTGTGGCCTTCCTTCGAAACGGGTATATCTTCACATCAAACCTAGACAGAAGCATTCTCAGAATGTTTCCTGTGATGACTGCATTCAACTCACAGAGGTGAACAATCCTGCTGATGGAGCAGTTTTGAAACTCTCTTTCTTTGGATTCTGCAAGTGGATATGTGGACCTCTGTGAAGATTTCGTTGGAAACGGGTTCATCTTCACAGAAAAACTAAACAGGAGCATTCTCAGAAACTGCTTTGTGATGTTTGTGTTCCACATCAAGAATTGAACTTTCCTCTTGACAGAGCAGCTCTGATACCCTCTTTTTCTAGAATCTGCAAGTGGACATTTGGAGGGCTTTGAGGCCTGTGGTGCAAAGGGAAAATCTTCACATAAAAACTAGATGGAAGCATTCTCAGCAAACTCCTTTGTGATGATTGCATTCGACTCACAGAGTTGAACATTCCTATAGATAGAGCAGGTTGTAAACAATCTTTTTGTAGAATCTGCGACTGGAGATTTGGACTGCTTTGAGGCCTACTGTAGTAAAGGAAATAACTTCATCTAAAAACCAAACGGAAGCATTCACAGACAATTCTTAGTGATCATTGGATTGAACTAACAGAGCTGAACATTCCTTTAGATGGAGCAGTTTCCAAACACACTTTCTGTAGAATCTGCAATTGGATATTTGGACCTCTCTGAGGATTTCGTTGGAAATGGGATAAACTTCCCAGAAATACACGGAAGCATTCTGAGAAACTTCTTTGTGATGTTTGCATTCAACTCACAGAGTTGAACCTTGCTTTCATGGTTCAGCTTTCAAACACTCTTTTTGTAGAATCTGCAAGTGGATATTTGGACCACTTTGGGGCCTTCCTTCGAAACGGGTATCTCTTCACATCAAACCTAGACAGAAGCATTCTCAGAATGTTTCCTGTGATGACTGCATTCAACTCACAGAGGTGAACAATCCTGCTGATGGAGCAGTTTTGAAACTCTGTTTCTTTGGATTCTGCAAGTGGATATGTGGACCTCTGTGAATATTTCGTTAGAAACGGGTTCATCTTCACAGAAAAACTAAACAGGAGCATTCTCAGAAACTGCTTTGTGATGTTTGTGTTCCACTTCAAGAATTGAACTTTCCTCTTGACAGAGCAGCTCTGAAACCCTCTTTTTCTAGAATCTGCAAGTGGACATTTGGAGGGCTTTGAGGCCTGTGGTGGAAAAGGAAAATCTTCACATAAAAACTAGATGGAAGCATTCTCAGAAACTACTTTTGTGATGATTGCATTCGACTCACAGAGTTGAACATTCCTATAGATAGAGCAGGTTGTAAACAATCTTTTTGTAGAATCTGCGATTGGAGATTTGGACTGCTTTGAGGCCTACTGTAGTAAAGGAAATAACTTCATCTAAAAACCAAACGGAAGCATTCACAGACAATTCTTAGTGATCATTGCATTGAACTAACAGAGCTGAACATTCCTTTAGATGGCGCAGTTTCCAAACACACTTTCTGTAGAATCTGCAAGTGGATATTTGGACCTCTCTGAGGATTTCGTTGGAAACGGGATAAACTTCCCAGAACTACACGGAAGCATTCTGAGAAACTTCTTTGTGATGTTTGCATTCAACTCACAGAGTTGAACCTTGCTTTCTTAGTTCAGCTTTCAAACACTCTTTTTGTAGAATCTGCAAGTGGATATTTGGACCACTTTGTGGCCTTCCTTCGAAACGGGTATATCTTCACATCAAACCTAGACAGAAGCATTCTCAGAATGTTTCCTGTGATGACTGCATTCAACTCACAGAGGTGAACAATCCTGCTGATGGAGCAGTTTTGAAATTCTCTTTCTTTGGATTCTGCAAGAGGATATGTGGACCTCTGTGAAGATTTCGTTGGAAACGGGTTCATCTTCACAGAAAAACTAAACAGAAGCATTCTCAGAAACTGCTTTGTGATGTTTGTGTTCCACTTCAGGAATTGAACTTTCCTCTTGAAAGAGCACCTCTGAAACCCTCTTTTTCTAGAATCTGCAAGTGGACATTTGGAGGGCTTTGAGGCCTGTGGTGGAAAAGGAAAATCTTCACATAAAAACTAGATGGAAGCATTCTCAGAAACTACTTTGTGATGATTGCATTCGACTCACAGAGTTGAACATTCCTATAGATAGAGCAGGTTGTAAACAATCTTTTTGTACAATCTGCGATTGGAGATTTGGACTGCTTTGAGGCCTACTGTAGTAAAGGAAATAACTTCATCTAAAAACCAAACGGAAGCATTCAGAGACAATTCTTAGTGATCATTGCATTGAACTAACAGAGCTGAACATTCCTTTAGATGGCGCAGTTTCCAAACACACTTTCTGTAGAATCTGCAAGTGGATATTTGGACTTCTCTGAGGATTTCGTTGGAAACGGGATAAACTTCCCAGAACTACACGGAAGCATTGTGAGAAACTTCTTTGTGATGTTTGCATTCAACTCACAGAGTTGAACCTTGCTTTCATAGTTCAGCTTTCAAACACTCTTTTTGTAGAATCTGCAAGTGGATATTTGGACCACTTTGTGGCCTTCCTTCGAAACGGGTATATCTTCACATCAAACCTAGACAGAAGCATTCTCAGAATGTTTCCTGTGATGACTGCATTCAACTCACAGAGGTGAACAATCCTGTTGATGGAGCACTTTTGAAACTCTCTTTCTTTGGATTCTGCAAGTGGATATGTGGATCTCTGTGAAGATTTCGTTGGAAACGGGTCCATCTTCACAGAAAAACTAAACAGGAGCATTCTCAGAAACTGCTTTGTGATGTTTGTGTTCCACTTCAAGAATTGAACTTTCCTCTTGACAGAGCAGCTCTGAAACCCTCTTTTTCTAGAATCTGCAAGTGGACATTTGGAGGGCTTTGAGGCCTGTGGTGGAAAAGGAAAATGTTCACATAAAAACTAGATGGAAGCATTCTCAGAAACTACTTTGTGATGATTGCATTCGACTCACAGAGTTGAACATTCCTATAGATAGAGCAGGTTGTAAACAATCTTTTTGTAGAATCTGCGATTGGAGATTTGGACTGCTTTGAGGCCTACTGTAGTAAAGGAAATAACTTCATCTAAAAACCAAACGGAAGCATTCACAGACAATTCTTAGTGATCATTGGATTGAACTAACAGAGCTGAACATTCCTTTAGATGGAGCATTTTCCAAACGCACTTTCTGTAGAATCTGCAAGTGGATATTTGGACTTCTCTGAGGATTTCGTTGGAAACGGGATAAACTTCCCAGAACTACACGGAAGCATTGTGAGAAACTTCTTTGTGATGTTTGCATTCAACTCACAGAGTTGAACCTTGCTTTCATAGTTCAGCTTTCAAACACTCTTTTTGTAGAATCTGCAAGTGGATATTTGGACCACTTTGTGGCCTTCCTTCGAAACGGGTATATCTTCACATCAAACCTAGACAGAAGCATTCTCAGAATGTTTCCTGTGATGACTGCATTCAACTCACAGAGGTGAACAATCCTGTTGATGGAGCAGTTTTGAAACTCTCTTTCTTTGGATTCTGCAAGTGGATATGTGGACCTCTGTGAAGATTTCGTTTGAAACGGGTTCATCTTCACAGAAAAACTAAACAGAAGCATTCTCAGAAACTGCTTTGTGATGTTTCTGTTCCACTTCAAGAATTGAACTTTCCTCTTGACAGAGCAGCTCTGAAACCCTCTTTTTCTAGAATCTGCAAGTGGACATTTGGAGGGCTTTGAGGTCTGTGGTGGAAAAGGAAAATCTTCACATAAAAAATAGATGGAAGCATTCTCAGAAACTACTTTGTGATGATTGCATTCGACTCACAGAGTTGAACATTCCTATAGATAGAGCAGGTTGTAAACAATCTTTTTGTAGAATCTGCGATTGGAGATTTGGACTGCTTTGAGGCCTACTGTAGTAAAGGAAATAACTTCATCTAAAAACCAAACGGAAGCATTCACAGACAATTCTTAGTGATCATTGGATTGAACTAACAGAGCTGAACATTCCTTTAGATGGCGCAGTTTCCAAACCCACTTTCTGTAGAATCTGCAAGTGGATATTTGGACTTCTCTGAGGATTTCGTTGGAAACGGGATAAACTTCCCAGAACTACAGGGAAGCATTGTGAGAAACTTCTTTGTGATGTTTGCATTCAACTCACAGAGTTGAACCTTGCTTTCATAGTTCAGCTTTCAAACACTCTTTTTGTAGAATCTGCAAGTGGATATTTGGACCACTTTGTGGCCTTCCTTCGAAACGGGTATATCTTCACATCAAACCTAGACAGAAGCATTCTCAGAATGTTTCCTGTGATGACTGCATTCAACTCACAGAGGTGAACAATCCTGTTGATGGAGCAGTTTTGAAACTCTCTTTCTTTGGATTCTGCAAGTGGATATGTGGACCTCTGTGAAGATTTCGTTGGAAACGGGTTCATCTTCACAGAAAAACTAAACAGGAGCATTCTCAGAAACTGCTTTGTGATGTTTGTGTTCCACTTCAAGAATTGAACTTTCCTCTTGACAGAGCAGCTCTGAAACCCTCTTTTTCTAGAATCTGCAAGTGGACATTTGGAGGGCTTTGAGGCCTGTGGTGGAAAAGGAAAATCTTCACATGAAAACTAGATGGAAGCATTCTCAGAAACTACTTTGTGATGATTGCATTCGACTCACAGAGTTGAACATTCCTATAGATAGAGCAGGTTGTAAACAATCTTTTGTAGAATCTGCGATTGGAGATTTGGACTGCTTTGAGGCCTACTGTAGTAAAGGAAATAACTTCATCTAAAAACCAAACGGAAGCATTCACAGACAATTCTTAGTGATCATTGCATTGAACTAACACAGCTGAAAATTCGTTTAGATGGCGCAGTTTCCAAACAGACTTTCTGTAGAATCTGCAGGTGGATATTTGGACCTCTCTGAGGATTTCGTTGGAAACGGGATAAACTTCCCAGAACTACACGGAAGCATTCTGAGAAACTTCTTTGTGACGTCTGCATTCAACTCACAGAGTTGAACCTTGCTTTCATAGTTCAGCTTTCAAACACTCTTTTTGTAGAATCTGCAAGTGGATATTTGGACCACTTTGTGGCCTTCCTTCGAAACGGGTATATATTCACATCAAACCTAGACAGAAGCATTCTCAGAATGTTTCCTGTGATGACTGCATTCAACTCAGAGAGGTGAACAATCCTGTTGATGGAGCAGTTTTGAAACTCTCTTTCTTTGGATTCTGCAAGTGGATATGTGGACCTCTGTGAAGATTTCGTTGGAAACGGGTTCATCTTCACAGAAAAACTAAACAGGAGCATTCTCAGAAACTGCTTTGTGATGTTTGTGTTCCACTTCAGGAATTGAACTTTCCTCTTGATAGGGCAGCTCTGAAACCCTCTTTTTCTAGAATCTGCAAGTGGACATTTGGAGGGCTTTGAGGCCTGTGGTGGAAAAGGAAAATCTTCACATAAAAACTAGATGGAAGCATTCTCAGAAACTACTTTGTGATGATTGCATTCGACTCACAGAGTTGAACATTCCTATAGATAGAGCAGGTTGTAAACAATCTTTTTGTAGAATCTGCGATTGGAGATTTGGACTGCTTTGAGGCCTACTGTAGTAAAGGAAATAACTTCATCTAAAAACCAAACGGAAGCATTCACAGACAATTCTTAGTGATCATTGCATTGAACTAACAGAGCTGAACATTCCTTTAGATGGCGCAGTTTCCAAACACACTTTCTGTAGAATCTGCAAGTGGATATTTGGACTTCTCTGAGGATTTCGTTGGAAACGGGATAAACTTCCCAGAACTACACGGAAGCATTCTGAGAAACTTCTTTGTGATGTTTGCATTCAACTCACAGAGTTGAACCTTGCTTTCATAGTTCAGCTTTCAAACACTCTTTTTGTAGAATCTGCAAGTGGATATTTGGACCACTTTGTGGCCTTCCTTCGAAACGGGTATATCTTCACATCAAACCTAGACAGAAGCATTCTCAGAATGTTTCCTGTGATGACTGCATTCAACTCACAGAGGTGAACAATCCTGCTGATGGAGCAGTTTTGAAACTCTCTTTCTTTGGATTCTGCAAGTGGATATGTGGACCTCTGTGAAGATTTCGTTGGAAACGGGTTCATCTTCACAGAAAAACTAAACAGAAACATTCTCAGAAACTGCTTTGTGATGTTTGTGTTCCACTTCAAGAATTGAACTTTCCTCTTGACAGAGCAGCTCTGAAACCCTCTTTTTCTAGAATCTGCAAGTGGACATTTGGAGGGCTTTGAGGCCTGTGGTGGAAAAGGAAAATCTTCACATAAAAACTAGATGGAAGAATTCTCAGAATCTACTTTGTGATGATTGCATTCGACTCACAGAGTTGAACATTCCTATAGATAGAGCAGGTTGTAAACAATCTTTTTGTAGAATCTGCGATTGGAGATTTGGACTGCTTTGAGGCCTACTGTAGTAAAGGAAATAACTTCATCTAAAAACCAAACGGAAGCATTCACAGACAATTCTTAGTGATCATTGCATTGAACTAACAGAGTTGAACATTCCTTTAGGTGGCGCAGTTTCCAAACACACTTTCTGTTGAATCTGCAAGTGGATATTTGGACCTCTCTGAGGATTTCGTTGGAAACGGGATAAACTTCCCAGAACTACACGGAAGCATTGTGAGAAACTTCTTTGTGATGTTTGCATTCAACTCACAGAGTTGAACCTTGCTTTCATAGTTCAGCTTTCAAACCCTCTTTTTGTAGAATCTGCAAGTGGATATTTGGACCACTTTGTGGCCTTCCTTCGAAACGGGTATATGTTCACGTCAAACCTAGACAGAAGCATTCTCAGAATGTTTCCTGTGATGACTGCATTCAACTCACAGAGGTGAACAATCCTGCTGATGGAGCGGTTTTGAAACTCTCTTTCTTTGGATTCTGCAAGTGGATATGTGGACCTCTGTGAAGATTTCGTTGGAAACGCGTTCATCTTCACAGAAAAACTAAACAGAAGCATTATCAGAAACTGCTTTGTGATGTTTGTGTTCCACTTCAGGAATTGTACTTTCCTCTTGACAGAGCAGCTCTGAAACCCTCTTATTCTAGAAACTGCAAGTGGACATTTGGAGGGCTTTGAGGCCTGTGGTGGAAAAGGAAAATCTTCACATAAAAACTAGATGGAAGCATTCTCAGAAACTACTTTGTGATGATTGCATTCGACTCACAGAGTTGAACATTCCTATAGATAGAGCAGGTTGTAAACAATCTTTTTGTAGAATCTGCGATTGGAGATTTGGACTGCTTTGAGGCCTACTGTAGTAAAGGAAATAACTTCATCTAAAAACCAAACGGAAGCATTCACAGACAATTCTTAGTGATCATTGGATTGAACTAACAGAGCTGAACATTCCTTTAGATGGAGCAGTTTCCAAACACACTTTCTGTAGAATCTGCAAGTGGATATTTGGACCTCTCTGAGGATTTCGTTGGAAACGGGATAAACTTCCCAGAACTACACGGAAGCATTCTGAGAAACTTCTTTGTGATGTTTGCATTCAACTCACAGAGTTGAACCTTGCTTTCATAGTTCAGCTTTGAAACACTCCTTTTGTAGAATCTGCAAGTGGATATTTGGACCACTTTGTGGCCTTCCTTCGAAACGGGTATATCTTCACATCAAACCTAGACAGAAGCATTCTCAGAATGTTTCCTGTGATGACTGCATTCAACTAACAGAGGTGAACAATCCTGTTGATGGAGCAGTTTTGAAACTCTCTTTCTTTGGATTCTGCAAGTGGATATGTGGACCTCTGTGAAGATTTCGTTGGAAACTGGTTCATCTTCACAGAAAAACTAAACAGGAGCATTCTCAGAAACTGCTTTGTGATGTTTGTGTTCCACTTCAAGAATTGAACTTTCCTCTTGACAGAGCAGCTCTGAAACCCTCTTTTTCTGGAATCTGCAAGTGGACATTGGGAGGGATTGAGGCCTGTGGTGGAAAAGGAAAATCTTCACATAAAAACTAGATGGAAGCATTCTCAGAAACTACTTTGTGATGATTGCATTCGACTCACAGAGTTGAACATTCCTATAGATAGAGCAGGTTGTAAACAATCTTTTTGTAGAATCTGCGATTGGAGATTTGGACTCCTTTGAGGCCTACTGTAGTAAAGGAAATAACTTCATCTAAAAACCAAACGGAAGCATTCACAGACAATTCTTAGTGATCATTGCATTGAACTAACAGAGCTGAACATTCCTGTAGATGGCGCAGTTTCCAAACACACTTTCTGGAGAATCTGCAAGTGGATATTTGGACCTCTCTGAGGATTTCGTTGGAAACGGGATAAACTTCCCAGTACTACACGGAAGCATTGTGAGAAACTTCTTTGGATGTTTGCATTCAACTCACAGTGTTGAACCTTGCTTTCATAGTTCAGCTTTCAAACACTCTTTTTGTAGAATCTACAAGTGGATATTTGGACCACTTTGTGGCCTTCCTTCCAAACGGGTATATCTTCACATCAAACCTAGACAGAAGGATTCTCAGAATGTTTCCTGTGATGACTGCATTCAACTCACAGAGGTGAACAATCCTTCTGATGGAGCAGTTTTGAAATTCTCTTTCTTTGGATTCTGCAAGTGGATATGTGGACCTCTGTGAAGATTTCGTTGGAAACGGGTTCATCTTCACAGAAAAACTAAACAGGAGCATTCTCAGAAACTGCTTTGTGATGTTTGTGTTCCACTTCAAGAATTGAACTTTCCTCTTGACAGAGCAGCTCTGAAACCCTCTTTTTCTAGAATCTGCAAGTGGACATTTGGAGGGCTTTGAGGCCTGTGGTGGAAAAGGAAAATCTTCACATAAAAACTAGATGGAAGCATTCTCAGAAACTACTTTGTGATGATTGCATTCGACTCACAGAGTTGAACATTCCTATACATAGAGCAGGTTGTAAACAATCTTTTTGTAGAATCTGCGATTGGAGATTTGGACTGCTTTGAGGCCTACTGTAGTAAAGGAAATAACTTCATCTAAAAACCAAACGGAAAGCATTCACAGGACAATTCTTAGTGATCATTGCATTGAACTAACAGAGCTGAAAATTCCTTTAGATGGCGCAGTTTCCAAACACACTTTCTGTAGAATCTGCAAGTGGATATTTGGACTTCTCTGAGGATTTCGTTGGAAACGGGATAAACTTCCCAGAACTACAGGGAAGCATTCTGAGAAACTTCTTTGTGATGTTTGCATTCAACTCACAGAGTTGAACCTTGCTTTCATAGTTCAGCTTTCAAACACTCTTTTTGTAGAATCTGCAAGTGGATATTTGGACCACTTTGTGGCCTTCCTTCGAAACGGGTATATCTTCACATCAAACCTAGACAGAAGCATTCTCAGAATGTTTCCTCTGATGACTGCATTCAACTCACAGAGGTGAACAATCCTGTTGATGGAGCAGTTTTGAAATTCTCTTTCTTTGGATTCTGCAAGTGGATATGTGGACCTCTGTGAAGATTTCGTTGGAAACGGGTTCATCTTCACAGAAAAACTAAACAGAAGCATTCTCAGAAACTGCTTTGTTATGTTTGTGTTCCACTTCAGGAATTGAACTTTCCTCTTGACAGAGCAGCTCTGAAACCCTCTTATTCTAGAATCTGCAAGTGGACATTTGGAGGGCTTTGAGGCCTGTGGTGGAAAACGAAAATCTTCACATAAAAACTAGATGGAAGCATTCTCAGAAACTACTTTGTGATGATTGCATTCGACTCACAGAGTTGAACATTCCTATAGATAGAGCAGGTTGTAAACAATCTTTTTGTAGAATCTGCGATTGGAAATTTGGACTGCTTTGAGGCCTACTGTAGTAAAGGAAATAACTTCATCTAAAAACCAAACGGAAGCATTCACAGACAATTCTTAGTGATCATTGCATTGAACTAACAGAGCTGAACATTCCTTTAGATGGCGCAGTTTCCAAACACACTTTCTGTAGAATCTGCAAGTGGATATTTGGACCTCTCTGAGGATTTCGTTGGAAACGGGATAAACTTCCCAGAACTACACGGAAGCATTCTGAGAAACATCTTTGTGATGTTTGCATTCAACTCACAGAGTTGAACCTTGCTTTCATAGTTCAGCTTTCAAACACTCTTTTCGTAGAATCTGCAAGTGGATATTTGGACCACTTTGTGGCCTTCCTTCGAAACGGGTATATCTTCACATCAAACCTAGACAGAAGCATTCTCAGAATGTTTCCTGTGATGACTGCATTCAACTCACAGAGGTGAACAATCCTGTTGATGGAGCAGTTTTGAAACTCTCTTTCTTTGGATTCTGCAAGTTGATATGTGGACCTCTGTGAAGATTTCGTTGGAAACGGGTTCATCTTCACAGAAAAACTAAACAGAAGCATTCTCAGAAACTACTTTGTGATGTTTGTGTTCCACTTCAAGAATTGAACTTTCCTCTTGACAGAGCAGCTCTGAAACCCTCTTTTTCTAGAATCTGCAAGTGGACATTTGGAGGGCTTTGAGGCCTGTGGTGGAAAAGGAAAATCTTCACATAAAAACTAGATGGAAGCATTCTCAGAAACTACTTTGTGATGATTGCATTCGACTCACAGAGTTGAACATTCCTATAGATAGAGCAGGTTGTAAACAATCTTTTTGTAGAATCTGCGATTGGAGATTTGGACTGCTTTGAGGTCTACTGTAGTAAAGGAAATAACTTCATCTAAAAACCAAACGGAAGCATTCCCAGACAATTCTTACTGATCATTGCATTGAACTAACAGAGCTGAACATTCCTTTAGATGGAGCAGTTTCCAAACACACTTTCTGTAGAATCTGCAAGTGGATATTTGGACTTCTCTGAGGATTTCGTTGGAAACGGGATAAAATTCCCAGAACTACACGGAAGCATTGTGAGAAACTTCTTTGTGATGTTTGCATTCAACTCACAGAGTTGAACCTTGCTTTCATAGTTCAGCTTTCAAACACTCTTTTTGTACAATCTGCAAGTGGATATTTGGACCACTTTGTGGCCTTCCTTCGAAACGGGTATATCTTCACATCAAACCTAGACAGAAGCATTCTCAGAATGTTTCCTGTGATGACTGCATTCAACTCACAGAGGTGAACAATCCTGTTGATGGAGCACTTTTGAAACTCTCTTTCTTTGGATTCTGCAAGTTGATATGTGGACCTCTGTGAAGATTTCGTTGGAAACGGTGTTCATCTTCACAGAAAAACTAAACAGAAACATTCTCAGAAACTGCTTTGTGATGTTTGTGTTCCACTTCAAGAATTGAACTTTCCTCTTGACAGAGCAGCTCTGAAACCCTCTTTTTCTAGAATCTGCAAGTGGACATTTGGAGGGCTTTGAGGCCTGTGGTGGAAAAGGAAAATCTTCACATAAAAACTAGATGGAAGCATTCTCAGAAACTACTTTGTGATGATTGCATTCGACTCACAGAGTTGAACATTCCTATAGATAGAGCAGGTTGTAAACAATCTTTTTGTAGAATCTGCGATTGGAGATTTGGACTGCTTTGAGGCCTACTGTAGTAAAGGAAATAACTTCATCTAAAAACCAAACGGAAGCATTCACAGAAAATTCTTAGTGATCATTGGATTGAACTAACAGAGCTGAACATTCCTTTAGATGGAGCAGTTTCCAAACACACTTTCTGTAGAATCTGCAAGTGGATATTTGGACCTCTCTAAGGATTTCGTTGGAAAAGGGCTAAACTTCCCAGAACTACACGGAAGCATTCTGAGAAACTTCTTTGTGATGTTTGCATTCAACTCACAGAGTTGAACCTTGCTTTCATAGTTCAGCTTTCAAACACTCTTTTTGTAGGATCCGCAAGTGGATATTTGACAACTTTGTGGCCTTCCTTCGAAACGGGTATATCTTCACATCAAACCTAGACAGAAGCATTCTCAGAATGTTTCCTGTGATGACTGCATTCAACTCACAGAGGTGAACAATCCTGCTGATGGAGCAGTTTTGAAACTCTCTTTCTTTGGATTCTGCAAGTGGATATGTGGACCTCTGTGAAGATTTCG
The DNA here is from genome assembly GCF_000001405.40 of Homo sapiens. Taxonomy (NCBI): domain Eukaryota; kingdom Metazoa; phylum Chordata; class Mammalia; order Primates; family Hominidae; genus Homo; species Homo sapiens. The sequence continues at coordinate 52,501,012 of NC_000011.10, forward strand.
TTGGAAACGGGTTCATCTTCACAGAAAAACTAAACAGAAGCATTCTCAGAAACTGCTTTGTGATGTTTGTGTTCCACTTCAGGAATTGAACTTTCCTCTTGACAGAGCAGCTCTGAAACCCTCTTATTCTAGAATCTGCAAGTGGACATTTGGAGGGCTTTGAGGCCTGTGGTGGAAAAGGAAAATCTTCACATAAAAACTAGATGGAAGCATTCTCAGAAACTCCTTTGTGATGATTGCATTCGACTCACAGAGTTGAACATTCCTATAGATAGAGCAGGTTGTAAACAATCTTTTTGTAGAATCTGCGATTGGAGATTTGGACTGCTTTGAGGCCTACTGTAGTAAAGGAAATAACTTCATCTAAAAACCAAACGGAAGCATTCACAGACAATTCTTAGTGATCATTGCATTGAACTAACAGAGCTGAACATTCCTTTAGATGTCGCAGTTTCCAAACACACTTTCTGTAGAATCTGCAAGTGGATATTTGGACCTTTCTAAGGATTTCGTTGGAAACGGGATAAAATTCCCAGAACTACACGGAAGCATTCTGAGAAACTTCTTTGTGATGTTTGCATTCAACTCACAGAGTTGGACCTTGATTTCATAGTTCAGCTTTCAAACACTCTTTTTGTAGAATCTGCAAGTGGATATTTGGACCACTTTGTGGCCTTCCTTCGAAACGGGTATATCTTCACATCAAACCTAGACAGAAGCATTCTCAGAATGTTTCCTGTGATGACTGCATTCAACTCACAGAGGTGAACAATCCTGCTGATGGAGCAGTTTTGAAACTCTCTTTCTTTGGATTCTGCAAGTGGATATGTGGACCTCTGTGAAGATTTCGTTGGAAACGGGTTCATCTTCACAGAAAAACTAAACAGAAGCATTCTCAGAAACTGCTTTGTGATGTTTGCGTTCCACTTCAGGAATTGAACTTTCCTCTTGACAGAGCAGCTCTGAAACCCTCTTTTTCTAGAATCTGCAAGTGGACATTTGGAGGGCTTTGAGGCCTGTGGTGGAAAAGGAATATCTTCACATAAAAACTAGATGGAAGCATTCTCAGAAACTACTTTGTGATGATTGCATTCGACTCACAGAGTTGAACATTCCTATAGATAGAGCAGGTTGTAAACAATCTTTTTGTAGAATCTGCGATTGGAGATTTGGACTGCTTTGAGGCCTACTGTAGTAAAGGAAATAACTTCATCTAAAAACCAAACGGAAGCATTCACAGACAATTCTTAGTGATCATTGCATTGAACTAACAGAACTGAACATTCCTTTAGATGGCGCAGTTTCCAAACACACTTTCTGTAGAATCTGCAAGTGGATATTTGGACTTCTCTGAGGATTTCGTTGGAAGCGGGATAAACTTCCCAGAACTACACGGAAGCATTGTGAGAAACTTCTTTGTGATGTTTGCATTCAACTCACAGAGTTGAACCTTGCTTTCATAGTTCAGCTTTCAAACACTCTTTTTGTAGAATCTGCAAGTGGATATTTGGACCACTTTGTGGCCTTCCTTTGAAAAGGGTATATCTTCACATCAAACCTAGACAGAAGCATTCTCAGAATGTTTCCTGTGATGACTGCATTCAACTCACAGATGTGAACAATCCTGCTGATGGAGCAGTTTTGAAACTCTCTTTCTTTGGATTCTGCAAGTGGATATGTGGACCTCTGTGTAGATTTCGTTGGAAACGGGTTCATCTTCACAGAAAAACTAAACAGCAGCATTCTCAGAAACTGCTTTGTGATGTTTGTGTTCCACTTCAGGAATTGAACTTTCCTCTTGACAGAGCAGCTCTGAAACCCTCTTATTCTAGAATCTGCAAGTGGACATTTGGAGGGCTTTGAGGCCTGTGGTGGAAAAGGAAAATCTTCACATAAAAACTAGATGGAAGCATTCTCAGAAACTACTTTGTGATGATTGCATTCGACTCACAGAGTTGAACATTCCTATAGATAGAGCAGGTTGTAAACAATCTTTTTGTAGAATCTGCGATTGGAGATTTGGACTGCTTTGAGGCCTACTGTAGTAAAGGAAATAACTTCATCTAAAAACCAAACGGAAGCATTCACAGACAATTCTTAGTGATCATTGGATTGAACTAACAGAGCTGAACATTCCTTTAGATGGAGCAGTTTCCAAACACACTTTCTGTAGAATCTGCAAGTGGATATTTGGACCTCTCTGAGGATTTCGTTGGAAACGGGATAAACTTCCCAGAACTACACGGAAGCATTCTGAGAAACTTCTTTGTGATGTTTGCATTCACCTCACAGAGTTGAACCTTGCTTTCATAGTTCAGCTTTCAAACACTCTTTTTGTAGAATCTGCAAGTGGATATTTGGACCACTTTGTGGCCTTCCTTCGAAACGGGTATATCTTCACATCAAACCTAGACAGAAGCATTCTCAGAATGTTTCCTGTGATGACTGCATTCAACTCACAGAGGTGAACAATCCTGTTGATGGAGCAGTTTTGAAACTCTCCTTCTTTGGATTCTGCAAGTGGATATGTGGACCTCTGTGAAGATTTCGTTGGAAACGGGTTCATCTTCACAGAAAAACTAAACAGAAACATTCTCAGAAACTGCTTTGTGATGTTTGTGTTCCACTTCAAGAATTGAACTTTCCTCTTGACAGAGCTGCTCTGAAACCCTCTTTTTCTAGAATCTGCAAGTGGACATTTGGAGGGCTTTGAGGCCTGTGGTGGAAAAGGAAAATCTTCACATAAAAACTAGATGGAAGCATTCTCAGAAACTACTTTGTGATGATTGCATTCGACTCACAGAGTTGAACATTCCTATAGATAGAGCAGGTTGTAAACAATCTTTTTGTAGAATCTGCGATTGGAGATTTGGACTGCTTTGAGGCCTACTGTAGTAAAGGAAATAACTTCATCTAAAAACCAAACGGAAGCATTCACAGACAATTCTTAGTGATCATTGGATTGAACTAACAGAGCTGAACATTCCTTTAGATGGAGCAGTTTCCAAACCCACTTTCTGTAGAATCTGCAAGTGGATATTTGGACTTCTCTGAGGATTTCGTTGGAAGCGGGATAAACTTCCCAGAACTACACGGAAGCATTCTGAGAAACTTCTTTGTGATGTTTGCATTCAACTCACAGAGTTGAACCTTGCTTTCATAGTTCAGCTTTCAAACCCTCTTTTTGTAGAATCTGCAAGTGGATATTTGGACCACTTTGTGGCCTTCCTTCGAAACGGGTATATCTTCACATCAAACCTAGACAGAAGCATTCTCAGAATGTTTCCTGTGATGACTGCATTCAACTCACAGAGGTGAACAATCCTGCTGATGGAGCAGTTTTGAAACTCTCTTTCTTTGGATTCTGCAAGTGGATATGTGGACCTCTGTGAAGATTTCGTTGGAAACGGGTTCATCTTCACAGAAAAACTAAACAGAAACATTCTCAGAAACTGCTTTGTGAAGTTTGTGTTCCACTTCAGGAATTGAACTTTCCTCTTGACAGAGCAGCTCTGAAACCCTCTTATTCTAGAATCTGCAAGTGGACATTTGGAGGGCTTTGAGGCCTGTGGTGGAAAAGGAAAATCTTCACATAAAAACTAGATGGAAGCATTCTCAGAAACTACTTTGTGATGATTGCATTCGACTCACAGAGTTGAACATTCCTATAGATAGAGCAGGTTGTAAACAATCTTTTTGTAGAATCTGCGATTGGAGATTTGGACTGCTTTGAGGCCTACTGTAGTAAAGGAAATAACTTCATCTAAAAACCAAACGGAAGCATTCACAGACAATTCTTAGTGATCATTGGATTGAACTAACAGAGCTGAACATTCCTTTAGATGGAGCAGTTTCCAAACCCACTTTCTGTAGAATCTGCAAGTGGATATTTGGACTTCTCTGAGGATTTCGTTGGAAACGGGATAAACTTCCCAGAACTACACGGAAGCATTCTGAGAAACTTCTTTGGATGTTTGCATTCAACTCAAAGAGTTGAACCTTGCTTTCATAGTTCAGCTTTCAAACACTCTTTTTGTGGAATCTGCAAGTGGATATTTGGACCACTTTGTGGCCTTCCTTCGAAACGGGTATATCTTCACATCAAACCTAGACAGAAGCATTCTCAGAATGTTTCCTGTGATGACTGCATTCAACTCACAGAGGTGAACAATCCTGCTGATGGAGCAGTTTTGAAACTCTCTTTCTTTGGATTCTGCAAGTGGATATGTGGACCTCTGTGAAGATTTCGTTGGAAACGTGTTCATCTTCACAGAAAAACTAAACAGAAGCATTCTCAGAAACTGCTTTGTGATGTTTGTGTTCCACTTCAAGAATTGAACTTTCCTCTTGACAGAGCAGCTCTGAAACCCTCTTTTTCTAGAATCTGCAAGTGGACATTTGGAGGGCTTTGAGTCCTGTGGTGGAAAAGGAAAATCTTCACATAAAAACTATATGGAAGCATTCTCAGAAACTAGTTTGTGATGATTGTATTCGACTCACAGAGTTGAACATTCCTATAGATAGAGCAGGTTGTAAACAATCTTTTTGTAGAATCTGCGATTGGAGATTTGGACTGCTTTGAGGCCTACTGTAGTAAAGGAAATAACTTCATCTAAAAACCAAACGGAAGCATTCACAGACAATTCTTAGTGATCATTGGATTGAACTAACAGAGCTGAACATTCCTTTAGATGGAGCAGTTTCCAAACACACTTTCTGTAGAATCTGCAAGTGGATATTTGGACTTCTCTGAGGATTTCGTTGGAAACGGGATAAACTTCCCAGAACTACACGGAAGCATTCTGAGAAACTTCTTTGTGATGTTTGCATTCAACTCACAGAGTTGAACCTTGCTTTCATAGTTCAGCTTTCAAACACTCTTTTTGTAGAATCTGCAAGTGGATATTTGGACCACTTTGTGGCCTTCCTTCGAAACGGGTATATCTTCACATCAAACCTAGACAGAAGCATTCTCAGAATGTTTCCTGTGATGACTGCATTCAACTCACAGAGGTGAACAATCCTGTTGATGGAGCAGTTTTGAAACTCTCTTTCTTTGGATTCTGCAAGTGGATATGTGGACCTCTGTGAAGATTTCGTTGGAAACGGGTTCATCTTCACAGAAAAACTAAACAGAAGCATTCTCAGAAACTGCTTTGTGATGTTTGTGTTCCACTTCAGGAATTGAACTTTCCTCTTGACAGAGCAGCTCTGAAACCCTCTTTTTCTAGAATCTGCAAGTGGACATTTGGAGGGCTTTGAGGCCTGTGGTGGAAAAGGAAACTCTTCACATAAAAACTAGATGGAAGCATTCTCAGAAACTACTTTGTGATGATTGCATTCGACTCACAGAGTTGAACATTCCTATAGATAGAGCAGGTTGTAAACAATGTTTTTGTAGAATCTGCGATTGGAGATTTGGACTGCTTTGAGGCCTACTGTAGTAAAGGAAATAACTTCATCTAAAAACCAAACGGAAGCATTCACAGACAATTCTTAGTGATCATTGGATTGAACTAACAGAGCTGAACATTCCTTTAGATGGAGCAGTTTCCAAACACACTTTCTGTAGAATCTGCAAGTGGATATTTGGACCTCTCTGCGGATTTCGTTGGAAACGGGATAAACTTCCCAGAACTACACGGAAGCATTGTGAGAAAATTCTTTGTGATGTTTGCATTCAACTCACAGAGTTGAACCTTGGTTTCATAGTTCAGCTTTCAAACACTCTTTTTGTAGAATCTGCAAGTGGATATTTGGACCACTTTGTGGCCTTCCTTCGAAACGGGTATATCTTCACATCAAACCTAGACAGAAGCATTCTCAGAATGTTTCCTGTGATGACTGCATTCAACTCACAGAGGTGAACAATCCTGCTGATGGAGCAGTTTTGAAACTCTCTTTCTTTGGATTCTGCAAGTGGATATGTGGACCTCTGTGAAGATTTCGTTGGAAACGGGTTCATCTTCACAGAAAAACTAAACAGGAGCATTCTCAGAAACTGCTTTGTGATGTTTGTGTTCCACTTCAAGAATTGAACTTTCCTCTTGACAGAGCAGCTCTGAAACCCTCTTTTTCTAGAATCTGCAAGTGGACATTTGGAGGGCTTTGAGGCCTGTGGTGCAAAAGGAAAATCTTCACATAAAAACTAGATGGAAGCATTCTCAGAAACTACTTTGTGATGATTGCATTCGACTCACAGAGTTGAACATTCCTATAGATAGAGCAGGTTGTAAACAATCTTTTTGTAGAATCTGCGATTGGAGATTTGGACTGCTTTGAGGCCTACTGTAGTAAAGGAAATAACTTCATCTAAAAACCAAACGGAAGCAATCACAGACAATTCTTAGTGATCATTGCATTGAACTAACAGAGCTGAACATTCCTTTAGATGGCGCAGTTTCCAAACACACTTTCTGTAGAATCTGCAAGTGGATATTTGGACCTCTCTGAGGATTTCGTTGGAAACGGGATAAACTTCCCAGAACTACACGGAAGCATTGTGAGAAACTTCTTTGTGATGTTTGCATTCAACCCACAGAGTTGAACCTTGCTTTCATAGTTCAGCTTTCAAACACTCTTTTTGTAGAATCTGCAAGTGGATATTTGGACCACTTTGTGGCCTTCCTTCGAAACGGGTATATCTTCACATCAAACCTAGACAGAAGCATTCTCAGAATGTTTCCTGTGATGACTCCATTCAACTCACAGAGGTGAACAATCCTGCTGACGGAGCAGTTTTGAAACTCCCTTTCTTTGGATTCTGCAAGTGGATATGTGGACCTCTGTGAAGATTTCGTTGGAAACGGGTTCATCTTCACAGAAAAACTAAACAGAAGCATTCTCAGAAACTGCTTTGTGATGTTTGTGTTCCACTTCAGGAATTGAACTTTCCTCTTGACAGAGCAGCTCTGAAACCCTCTTATTCTAGAATCTGCAAGTGGACATTTGGAGGGCTTTGAGGCCTGTGGTGGAAAAGGAAAATCTTCACATAAAAACTAGATGGAAGCATTCTCAGAAACTACTTTGTGATGATTGCATTCGACTCACAGAGTTGAACATTCCTATAGATAGAGCAGGTTGTAAACAATCTTTTTGTAGAATCTGCGATTGGAGATTTGGACTGCTTTGAGGCCTACTGTAGTAAAGGAAATAACTTCATCTAAAAACCAAACGGAAGCATTCACAGACAATATTTAGTGATCATTGAATTGAACTAACAGAGCTGAACATTCCTTTAGATGGAGCAGTTTCCAAACACACTTTCTGTAGAATCTGCAAGTGGATATTTGGACCTCTCTGAGGATTTCGTTGGAAACGGGATAAACTTCCCAGAACTACACGGAAGCATTGTGAGAAACTTCTTTGTGATGTTTGCATTCAACTCACAGAGTTGAAACTTGCTTTCATAGTTCAGCTTTCAAACACTCTTTTTGTAGAATCTGCAAGTGGATATTTGGACCACTTTGTGGCCTTCCTTCGAAACGTGTATATCTTCACATCAAACCTAGACAGAAGTATTCTCAGAATGTTTCCTGCGATGACTGCATTCAACTCACAGAGGTGAACAATCCTGTTGATGGAGCAGTTTTGAAACTCTCTTTCTTTGGATTCTGCAAGTCGATATGTGGACCTCTGTGAAGATTTCGTTGGAAACGGTTTCATCTTCACAGAAAAACTAAACAGGAGCATTCTCAGAAACTGCTTTGTGATGTTTGGGTTCCACCTCAAGAATTGAACTTTCCTCTTGACAGAGCAGCTCTGAAACCCGTCTTTTTCTAGAATCTGCAAGTGGACATTTGGAGGGCTTTGAGGCCTGTGGTGGAAAAGGAAAATCTTCACATAAAAACTAGATGGAAGCATTCTCAGAAACTACTTTGTGATGATTGCATTCGACTCACAGAGTTGAACATTCCTATAGATAGAGCAGGTTGTAAACAATCTTTTTGTAGAATCTGCGATTGGAGATTTGGACTGCTTGGAGGCCTACTGTAGTAAAGGAAATAACTTCATCTAAAAACCAAACGGAAGCATTCACAGACAATTCTTAGTGATCATTGGATTGAACTAACAGAGCTGAACATTCCTTTAGATGGCGCAGTTTCCAAACACACTTTCTGTAGAATCTGCAAGTGGATATTTGGACCTCTCTGAGGATTTCGTTGGAAACGGGATAAACTTCCCAGAACTACACGGAAGCATTCTGAGAAACTTCTTTGTGATGTTTGCATTCAACTCACAGAGTTGAACCTTGCTTTCATAGTTCAGCTTTCAAACACTCTTTTTGTAGAATCTGTAAGTGGATATTTGGACCACTTTGTGGCCTTCCTTCGAAACGGGTATATCTTCACATCAAACATAGACAGAAGAATTCTCAGAATGTTTCTTGTGATGACTGCATTCAACTCACAGAGGTGAACAATCCTCTTGATGGAGCAGTTTTGAAACTCTCTTTCTTTGGATTCTGCAAGTGGATATGTGGACCTCTGTGAAGATTTCGTTGGAAACGGGTTCATCTTCACAGAAAAACTAAACAGCAGCATTCTCAGAAACTGCTTTGTGATGTTTGTGTTCCACTTCAAGAATTGAACTTTCCTCTTGACAGAGCAGCTCTGAAACCCTCTTTTTCTAGAATCTGCAAGTGGACATTTGGAGGGCTTTGAGGCCTGTGGTGGAAAAGGAAAATCTTCACATAAGAACTAGATGGAAGCATTCTCAGAAACTACTTTGTGATGATTGCATTCGACTCACAGAGTTGAACATTCCTATAGATAGAGCAGGTTGTAAACAATCTTTTTGTAGAATCTGCGATTGGAGATTTGGACTGCTTTGAGGCCTACTGTAGTAAAGGAAATAACTTCATCTAAAAACCAAACGGAAGGATTCACAGACAATTCTTAGTGATCATTGCATTGAACTAACAGAGCTGAACATTCCTTTAGATGGCGCAGTTTCCAAACACACTTTCTGTAGAATCTGCAAGTGGATATTTGGACCTCTCTGAGGATTTCGTTGGAAACGGGATAAACTTCCCAGAACTACACGGAAGCATTCTGAGAAAGTTCTTTGTGATGTTTGCATTCAACTCACAGAGTTGAACCTTGCTTTCACAGTTCAACTTTCAAACACTCTTTTTGTAGAATCTGCAAGTGGATATTTGGACCACTTTGTGGCCTTCCTTCGAAACGGGTATATCTTCACATCAAACCTAGACAGAAGCATTCTCAGAATGTTTCCTGTGATGACTGCATTCAACTCACAGAGGTGAACAATCCTGCTGATGGAGCAATTTTGAAACTCTCTTTCTTTGGATTCTGCAATGGATATGTGGACCTCTGTGAAGATTTCGTTGGAAACGGGTTCATCTTCACAGAAAAACTAAACAGGAGCATTCTCAGAAACTGCTTTGTGATGTTTGTGTTCCACTTCAAGAATTGAACTTTCCTCTTGACAGAGCAGCTCTGAAACCCTCTTTTTCTGGAATCTGCAAGTGGACATTGGGAGGGCTTTGAGGCCTGTGGTGGAAAAGGAAAATCTTCACATAAAAACTAGATGGAAGCATTCTCAGAAACTTCTTTGTGATGATTGCATTCGACTCACAGAGTTGAACATTCCTATAGATAGAGCAGGTTGTAAACAATCTTTTTGTAGAATCTGCGATTGGAGATTTGGACTGCTTTGAGGCCTACTGTAGTAAGGGAAATTACTTCATCTAAAAACCAAACGGAAGCATTCACAGACAATTCTTAGTGATCATTGGATTGAACTAACAGAGCTGAACATTCCTTTAGATGGAGCAGTTTCCAAACCCACTTTCTGTAGAATCTGCAAGTGGATATTTGGACTTCTCTGAGGATTTCGTTGGAAACGGGATAAACTTCCCAGAACTACACGGAAGCATTGTGAGAAACTTCTTTGTGATGTTTGCATTCAACTCACAGAGTTGAACCTTGCTTTCATAGTTCAGCTTTCAAACACTCTTTTTGTAGAATCTGCAAGTGGATATTTGGACCACTTTGTGGCCTTCCTTCGAAACGGGTATATCTTCACATCAAACCTAGACAGAAGCATTCTCAGTAATGTTTCCTGTGATGACTGCATTCAACTCACAGAGGTGAACAATCCTGCTGTTGGAGCAGTTTTGAAACTCTCTTTCTTTGGATTCTGCAAGTGGATATGTGGAACTCTGTGAAGATTTCGTTGGAAACGGGTACATCTTCACAGAAAAACTAAACAGGAGCATTCTCAGAAGCTGCTTTGTGATGTTTGTGTTCCACTTCAAGAATTGAACTTTCCTCTTGACAGAGCAGCTCTGAAACCCTCTTTTTCTAGAATCTGCAAGTGGACATTTGGAGGGCTTTGAGGCCTGTGGTGGAAAAGGAAAATCTTCACATAAAAACTAGATGGAAGCATTCTCAGAAACTACTTTGTGATGATTGCATTCGACTCACAGAGTTGAATATTCCTATAGATAGAGCAGGTTGTAAACAATCTTTTTGTAGAATCTGCGATTGGAGATTTGGACTGCTTTGAGGCTTATTGTAGTAAAGGAAATAACTTCATCTAAAAACCAAACGGAAGCATTCACAGACAATTCTTAGTGATCATTGGATTGAACTAACAGAGCTGAACATTCCTTTAGATGGAGCAGTTTCGAAACCCACTTTCTGTAGAATCTGCAAGTGGATATTTGGACTTCTCTGAGGATTTCGTTGGAAACGGGATAATCTTCCCAGAACTACATGGAAGCATTCTGAGAAACTTCTTTGTGATGTTTGCATTCAACTCACAGAGTTGAACCTTGCTTTCATAGTTCAGCTTTCAAACACTCTTTTTGTAGAATCTGCAAGTGGATATTTGGACCACTTTGTGGCCTTCCTTCGAAACGGGTATATCTTCACATCAAACCTAGACAGAAGCATTCTCAGAATGTTTCCTGTGATGACTGCATTCAACGCACAGAGGTGAACAATCCTGCTGATGGAGCAGTGTTGAAACTCTCTTTCTTTGGATTCTGCAAGTGGATATGTGGACCTCTGTGAAGATTTCGTTGGAAACGGGTTCATCTTCACAGAAAAACTAAACAGGAGCATTCTCAGAAACTGCTTTGTGATGTTTGTGTTCCACTTCAGGAATTGAACTTTCCTCTTGACAGAGTAGCTCTGAAACCCTCTTTTTCTAGAATCTGCAAGTGGACATTTGGAGGGCTTTGAGGCCTGTGGTGGAAAAGGAAACTCTTCACATAAAAACTAGATGGAAGCATTCTCAGAAACTACTTTGTGATGATTTCATTCGACTCACAGAGTTGAACATTCCTATAGATAGAGCAGGTTGAAAACAATCTTTTTGTAGAATCTGCGATTGGAGATTTGGACTGCTTTGAGGCGTACTGTAGTAAAGGAAATAACTTCATCTAAAAACCAAACGGAAGCATTCACAGACAATTCTTAGTGATCATTGGATTGAACTAACAGAGCTGAACATTCCTTTAGATGACGCAGTTTCCAAACACACTTTCTGTAGAATCTGCAAGTGGATATTTGGACCTCTCTGAGGATTTCGTTGGAAACGGGATAAACTTCCCAGAACTACACGGAAGCATTGTGAGAAACTTCTTTGTGATGTTTGCATTCAACTCACAGAGTTGAACCTTGCTTTCATAGTTCAGCTTTCAAACACTCTTTTTGTAGAATCTGCAAGTGGATATTTGGACCACTTTGTGGCCTTCCTTCGAAACGGGTATATCTTCACATCAAACCTAGACAGAAGCATTCTCAGAATGTTTCCTGTGATGACTGCATTCAACTCACAGAGGTGAACAATCCTGCTGATGGAGCAGTTTTGAAACTCTCTTTCTTTGGATTCTGCAAGTGGATATGTGGACCTGTGTGAAGATTTCGTTGGAAACGGGTTCATCTTCACAGAAAAACTAAACAGAAGCATTCTCAGAAACTGCTTTGTGATGTTTGTGTTCCACTTCAGGAATTGAACTTTCCTCTTGACAGAGGAGCTCTGAAACCCTCTTATTCTAGAATCTGCAAGTGGACATTTGGAGGGCTTTGAGGCCTGTGGTGGAAAAGGAAAATCTTCACATAAAAACTAGATGGAAGCATTCTCAGAAACTACTTTGTGATGATTGCATTCGACTCACAGAGTTGAACATTCCTATAGATAGAGCAGGTTGTAAACAATCTTTTTGTAGAATCTGCGATTGGAGATTTGGACTGCTTTGAGGCCTACTGTAGTAAAGGAAATAACTTCATCTAAAAACCAAACGGAAGCATTCACAGACAATTCTTAGTGATCATTGCATTCAACTAACAGAGCTGAACATTCCTTTAGATGGCGCAGTTTCCAAACACACTTTCTGTAGAATCTTCAAGTGGATATTTGGACCTCTCTGAGGATTTCGTTGGAAACGGGATAAACTTCCCAGAAGTACACGGAAGCATTCTGAGAAACTTCTTTGTGATGTTTGCATTCAACTCACAGACTTGAACCTTGCTTTCATAGTTCAGCTTTCAAATACTCTTTTTGTAGAATCTGCAAGTGGATATTTGGACCACTTTGTGGCCTTCCTTCCAATACGGGTATATCTTCACATCAAACCTAGACAGAAGCATTCTCAGAATGTTTCCTGTGATGACTGCATTCAACTCACAGAGGTGAACCATCCTGTTGATGGAGCAGTTTTGAAACTTCCTTTCTTTGGATACTGCAAGTGGATATGTGGACCTCTGTGAAGATTTCGTTGGAAACGGGTTCATCTTCACAGAAAAACTAAACAGGAGCATTCTCAGAAACTGCTTCGTGATGTTTGTGTTCCTCTTCAAGAATTGAACTTTCCTCTTGACACAGCAGCTCTGAAACCCTCTTTTTCTAGAATCTGCAAGTGGACATTTGGAGGGCTTTGAGGCCTGTGGTGGAAAAGGAAAATCTTCACATAAAAACTAGATGGAAGCATTCTCAGAAACTACTTTGTGATGATTGCATTCGACTCACAGAGTTGAACATTCCTATAGATAGAGCAGGTTGTAAACAATCTTTTTGTAGAATCTGCGATTGGAGATTTGGACTGCTTTGAGGCCTACTGTAGTAAAGGAAATAACTTCATCTAAAAACCAAACGGAAGCATTCACAGACAATTCTTAGTGATCATTGCATTGAACTAACAGAGCTGAACATTCCTTTAGATGGCGCAGTTTCCAAACACACTTTCTGTAGAATCTGCAAGTGGATATTTGGACCTCTCTGAGGATTTCGTTGGAAACGGGATAAACTTCCCAGAACTACACGGAAGCATTGTGAGAAACTTCTTTGTGATGTTTGCATTCAACTCACAGAGTTGAACCTTGCTTTCATAGTTCAGCTTTCAAACACTCTTTTTGTAGAATCTGCAAGTGGATATTTGGACCACTTTGTGGCCTTCCTTCGAAACGGGTATATCTTCACATCAAACCTAGACAGAAGCATTCTCAGAATGTTTCCTGTGATGACTGCATTCAACTCACAGAGGTGAACAATCCTGTTGATGGAGCAGTTTTGAAACTCTCTTTCGTTGGATTCTGCAAGTGGATATGTGGACCTCTGTGAAGATTTGGTTGGAAACGGGTTCATCTTCACAGAAAAACTAAACAGAAGCATTCTCAGAAACTGCTTTGTGATGTTTGAGTTCCACTTCAGGAATTGAACTTTCCTCTTGACAGAGCAGCTCTGAAACCCTCTTATTCTAGAATCTGCAAGTGGACATTTGGAGGGCTTTGAGGCCTGTGGTGGAAAAGGAAAATCTTCACATAAAAACTAGATGGAAGCATTCTCAGAAACTACTTTGTGATGATTGCATTCGACTCACAGAGTTGAACATTCCTATAGATAGAGCAGGTTGTAAACAATCTTTTTGTAGAATCTGCGATTGGAGATTTGGACTGCTTTGAGGCCTACTGTAGTAAAGGAAATAACTTCATCTAAAAACCAAACGGAAGCATTCACAGACAATTCTTAGTAATCATTGGATTGAACTAACGGAGCTGAACATTCCTTTAGATGGAGCAGTTTCCAAACACACTTTCTGTAGAATCTGCAAGTGGATATTTGGACTTCTCTGAGGATTTCGTTGGAAACGGGATAAACTTCCCAGAACTACACGGAAGCATTGTGAGAAACTTCTTTGTGATGTTTGCATTCAATTCACAGAGTTGAACCTTGCTTTCATAGTTCAGCTTTCAAACACTCTTTTTGTAGAATCTGCAAGTGGATATTTGGACCACTTTGTGGCCTTCCATCCAAACGGGTATATCTTCACATCAAACATAGACAGAAGCATTCTCAGAATGTTTCCTGTGATGACTGCATTCAACTCACAGAGGTGAACAATCCTGCTGATGGAGCAGTTTTCAAACTCTCTTTCTTTGGATTCTGCAGGTGGATATGTGGACCTCTGTGAAGATTTCGTTGGAAACGGGTTCATCTTCACAGAAAAACTAAACAGGAGCATTCTCAGAAACTGCTTTGTGATGTTTGTGTTCCACTTCAGGAATTGAGCTTTCCTCTTGAGAGAGCAGCTCTGAAACCCTCTTTTTCTAGAATCTGCAAGTGGACATTTGGAGGTCTTTGAGGCCTGTGGTGGAAAAGGAAAATCTTCACATAAAAACTAGATGGAAGCATTCTCAGAAACTACTTTGTGATGATTGCATTCGACTCACAGAGTTGAACATTCCTATAGATAGAGCAGGTTGAAAACAATCTTTTTGTAGAATCTGCGATTGGAGATTTGGACTGCTTTGAGGCCTACTGTAGTAAAGGAAATAACTTCATCTAAAAACCAAACAGAAGCATTCACAGACAATTCTTAGTGATCATTGGATTGAACTAACAGAGCTGAACATTCCTTTAGATGGAGCATTTTCCAAACGCACTTTCTGTAGAATCTGCAAGTGGATATTTGGACTTCTCTGAGGATTTCGTTGGAAACGGGATAAACTTCCCAGAACTACACGGAAGCATTCTGAGAAACTTCTTTGTGATGTTTGCATTCAACTCACAGAGTTGAACCTTGCTTTCATAGTTCAGCTTTCAAACACTCTTTTTGTAGAATCTGCAAGTGGATATTTGGACCACTTTGTGGCCTTCCTTCGAAACGGGTATATCTTCACATCAAACCTAGACAGAAGCATTCTTAGAATGTTTCCTGTGATGACTGCATTCAACTCACAGAGGTGAACAATCCTGCTGATGGAGCAGTTTTGAAACTCTCCTTCTTTGGATTCTGCAAGTGGATATGTGGACCTCTGTGAAGATTTCGTTGGAAACGGGTTCATCTTCACAGAAAAACTAAACAGAAACATTCTCAGAAACTGCTTTGTGATGTTTGTGTTCCACTTCAGGAATTGAACTTTCCTCTTGACAGAGCAGCTCTGAAACCCTCTTATTCTAGAATCTGCAAGTGGACATTTGGAGGGCTTTGAGGCCTGTGGTGGAAAAGGAAAATCTTCACATAAAAACTAGATGGAAGCATTCTCAGAAACTACTTTGTGATGATTGCATTCGACTCACAGAGTTGAACATTCCTATAGATAGAGCAGGTTGTAAACAATCTTTTTGTAGAATCTGCTATTGGAAATTTGAACTGCTTTGAGGCCTACTGTAGTAAAGGAAATAACTTCATCTAAAAACCAAACGGAAGCATTCACAGACAATTCTTAGTGATCATTGCATTGAACTAACAGAGCTGAACATTCCTTTAGATGGCGCAGTTTCCAAACACACTTTCTGTAGAATCTGCAAGTGGATATTTGGACCTCTCTGAGGATTTCGTTGGAAACGGGATAAACTTCCCAGAACTACACGGAAGCATTGTGAGAAACTTCTTTGTGATGTTTGCATTCAACTCACAGAGTTGAAGCTTGCTTTCATAGTTCAGCTTTCAAACACTCTTTTTGTAGAATCTGCAAGTGGATATTTGGACCACTTTGTGGCCTTCCTTCGAAACGGGTATATCTTCACATCAAACCTAGACAGAAGCATTCTCAGAATGTTTCCTGTGATGACTGCATTCAACTCACAGAGGTGAACAATCCTGCTGATGGAGCAGTTTTGAAACTCTCTTTCTTTGGATTCTGCAAGTGGATATGTGGACCTCTGTGAAGATTTCGTTGGAAACGGGTTCATCTTCACAGAAAAACTAAACAGAAGTATTCTCAGAAACTGCTTTGTGATGTTTGTGTTCCACTTCAGGAATTGAACTTTCCTCTTGACAGAGCAGCTCTGAAACCCTCTTATTCTAGAATCTGCAAGTGGACATTTGGAGGGCTTTGAGGCCTGTGGTGGAAAAGGAAAATCTTCACATAAAAACTAGATGGAAGCATTCTCAGAAACTACTTTGTGATGATTGCATTCGACTCACAGAGTTGAACATTCCTATAGATAGAGCAGGTTGTAAACAATCTTTTTGTAGAATCTGCGATTGGAGATTTGGACTGCTTTGAGGCCTACTGTAGTAAAGGAAATAACTTCATCTAAAAACCAAACGGAAGCATTCACAGACAATTCTTAGTGATCATTGCATTGAACTAACAGAGCTGAACATTCCTTTAGATGGAGCAGTTTCCAAACACACTTTCTGTAGAATCTGCAAGTGGATATTTGGACTTCTCTGAGGATTTCGTTGGAAACGGGATAAACTTCCCAGAACTACACGGAAGCATTCTGAGAAACTTCTTTGTGATGTTTGCATTCAACTCACAGAGTTGAACCTTGCTTTCATAGTTCAGCTTTCAAATACTCTTTTTGTAGAATCTGCAAGTGGATATTTGGACCACTTTGTGGCCTTCCTTCGAAACGGGTATATTCTTCACATCAAACATAGACAGAAGCATTCTCAGAATGTTTCCTGTGATGACTGCATTCCACTCACAGAGGTGAACAATCCTGCTGATGGAGCAGTTTTGAAACTCTCTTTCTTTGGATTCTGCAAGTGGATATGTGGACCTCTGTGAAGATTTCGTTGGAAAGGGGTTCATCTTCACAGAAAAACTAAACAGGAACATTCTCAGAAACTGCTTTGTGATGTTTGTGTTCCACTTCAAGAATTGAACTTTCCTCTTGACAGAGCAGCTCTGAAACCCTCTTTTTCTAGAATCTGCAAGTGGACATTTGGAGGGCTTTGAGGCCTGTGGTGGAAAAGGAAAATCTTCACATAAAAACTAGATGGAAGCATTCTCAGAAACTACTTTGTGATGATTGCATTCGACTCACAGAACTGAACATTCCTATAGATAGAGCAGGTTGAAAACAATCTTTTTGTAGAATCTGCGATTGGAGATTTGGACTGCTTTGAGGCCTACTGTAGTAAAGGAAATAACTTCATCTAAAAACCAAACGGAAGCATTCACAGAAAATTCTTAGTGATCATTGGATTGAACTAACAGACCTGAACATTCCTTTAGATGGAGCAGTTTCCAAACACACTTTCTGTAGAATCTGCAAGTGGATATTTGGACTTCTCTGAGGATTTCGTTGGAAACGGGATAAACTTCCCAGAACTACACGGAAGCATTCTGAGAAACTTCTTTGTGATGTTTGCATTCAACTCACAGAGTTGAACCTTGCTTTCATAGTTCAGCTTTCAAACACTCTTTTTGTAGAATCTGCAAGTGGATATTTGGACCACTTTGTGGCCTTCCTTCGAAACGGGTATATCTTCACATCAAACCTAGACAGAAGCATTCTCAGAATGTTTCCTGTGATGACTGCATTCAACTCACAGAGGTGAACAATCCTGTTGATGGAGCAGTTTTGAAACTCTCTTTCTTTGGATTCTGCAAGTGGATATGTGGACTTCTGTGAAGATTTCGTTGGAAACGGGTTCATCTTCACAGAAAAACTAAACAGGAGCATTCTCAGAAACTGCTTTGTTATGTTTGTGTTCCACTTCAGGAATTGAACTTTCCTCTTGACAGAGCAGCTCTGAAATCCTCTTATTCTAGAATCTGCAAGTGGACATTTGGAGGGCTTTGAGGCCTGTGGTGGAAAAGGAAAATCTTCACATAAAAACTAGATGGAAGCATTCTCAGAAACTACTTTGTGATGATTGCATTCGACTCACAGAGTTGAACATTCCTATAGATAGAGCAGGTTGTAAACAATCTTTTTGTAGAATCTGCGATTGGAGATTTGGACTGCTTTGAGGCCTACTGTAGTAAAGGAAATAACTTCATCTAAAAACCAAACGGAAGCATTCACAGACAATTCTTAGGGATCATTGGATTGAACTAACAGAGCTGAACATTCCTTTAGATGGAGCAGTTGCCAAACCCACTTTCTGTAGAATCTGCAAGTGGATATTTGGACTTCTCTGAGGATTTCGTTGGAAACGGGATAAACTTCCCAGAACTACACGGAAGCATTGTGAGAAACTTCTTTGTGATGTTTGCATTCAACTCACAGAGTTGAACCTTGCTTTCATAGTTCAGCTTTCAAACACTCTTTTTGTAGAATCTGCAAGTGGATATTTGGACCACTTTGTGGCCTTCCTTTGAAAAGGGTATATCTTCACATCAAACCTAGACAGAAGCATTCTCAGAATGTTTCCTGTGATGACTGCATTCAACTCACAGAGGTGAACAATCCTGTTGATGGAGCAGTTTTGAAACTCCCTTTCTTTGGATTCTGCAAGTGGATATGTGGAACTCTTTGAAGATTTCGTTGGAAACGGGTTCATCTTCACAGAAAAACTAAACAGGAGCATTCTCAGAAACTGCTTTGTGATGTTTGTGTTCCACTTCAGGAATTGAACTTTCCTCTTGACAGAGCAGCTCTGAAACCCTCTTATTCTAGAATCTGCAAGTGGACATTTGGAGGGCTTTGAGGCCTGTGGTGGAAAAGGAAAATCTTCACATAAAAACTAGATGGAAGCATTCTCAGAAACTACTTTGTGATGATTGCATTCGACTCACAGAGTTGAACTTCCCTACAGATAGAGCAGGTTGTAATCAATCTTTTTGTAGAATCTGCGATTGGAGATTTGGACTGCTTTGAGGCCTACTGTAGTAAAGGAAATAACTTCATCTAAAAACCAAACGGAAGCATTCACAGACAATTCTTAGTGATCATTGGATTGAACAAACAGAGCTGAACATTCCTTTAGATGCAGCAGTTTCCAAACCCACTTTCTGTAGAATCTGCAAGTGCATATTTGGACCTCTCTGAGGATTTCTTTGGAAACGGGATAAACTTCCCAGAACTACACGGAAGTATTCTGAGAAACTTCTTTATGATGTTTGCATTCAACTCACAGAGGGGAACCTTGCTTTCATAGTTCAGCTTTCAAACACTCTTTTTGTAGAATCTGCAAGTGGATATTTGGACCACTTTGTGGCCTTCCTTCGAAACGGGTATATCTTCACATCAAACCTAGACAGAAGCATTCTCAGAATGTTTCCTGTGATGACTGCATTTAACTCACAGAGGTGAACAATCCTGTTGATGGAGCAGTTTTGAAACTCTCTTTCTTTGGATTCTGCAAGTGGATATGTGGACCTCTGTGAACATTTCGTTGGAAACGGGTTCATCTTCACAGAAAAACTAAACAGGAGCATTCTCAGAAACTGCTTTGTGATGTTTGTGTTCCACTTCAGGAATTGAACTTTCCTCTTGACAGAGCAGCTCTGAAACCCTCTTATTCTAGAATCTGCAAGTGGACATTTGGAGGGCTTTGAGGCCTGTGGTGGAAAAGGAAAATCTTCACATAAAAACTAGATGGAAGCATTCTCAGAAACTACTTTGTGATGATTGCATTCGACTCACAGAGTTGAACATTCCTATAGATAGAGCAGGTTGTAAACAATCTTTTTGTAGAATCTGCGATTGGAGATTTGGACTGCTTTGAGGCCTACTGTAGTAAAGGAAATAACTTCATCTAAAAACCAAACGGAAGCATTCACAGACAATTCTTAGTGATCATTGCATTGAACTAACAGAGCTGAACATTCCTTTAGATGGAGCAGTTTCCAAACACACTTTCTGTAGAATCTGCAAGTGGATATTTGGACTTCTCTGAGGATTTCGTTGGAAAAGGGATAAACTTCCCAGAACTACACGGAAGCATTCTGAGAAACTTCTTTGTGATGTTTGCATTCAACTCATAGAGTTGAACCTTGCTTTCATAGTTCAGCTTTCAAACACTCTTTTTGTAGAATCTACAGAAAGTGGATATTTGGACCACTTTGTGGCCTTCCTTCGAAACGGGTATATCTTCACATCAAACCTAGACAGAAGCATTCTCAGAATGTTTCCTGTGATGACTGCATTCAACTCACAGAGGTGAACAATCCTGCTGATGGAGCAGTTTTGAAACTCTCTTTCTTTGGATTCTGCAAGTGGATATGTGGACCTCTGTGAAGATTTCGTTGGAAACGGGTTCATCTTCACAGAAAAACTAAACAGAAGCATTCTCAGAAACTGCTTTGTGATGTTTGTGTTCCACTTCAGGAATTGAACTTTCCTCTTGACAGAGCAGCTCTGAAACCCTCTTATTCTAGAATCTGCAAGTGGACATTTGGAGGGCTTTGAGGCCTGTGGTGGAAAAGGAAAATCTTCACATAAAAACTAGATGGAAGCATTCTCAGAAACTACTTTGTGATGATTGCATTCGACTCACAGAGTTGAACATTCCTATAGATAGAGCAGGTTGTAAACAATCTTTTTGTAGAATCTGCGATTGGAGATTTGGACTGCTTTGAGGCCTACTGTAGTAAAGGAAATAACTTCATCTAAAAACCAAACGGAAGCATTCACAGACAATTCTTAGTGATCATTGGATTGAACTAACAGAGCTGAACATTCCTTTAGATGGAGCAGTTGCCAAACCCACTTTCTGTAGAATCTGCAAGTGGATATTTGGACTTCTCTGAGGATTTCGTTGGAAACGGGATAAACTTCCCAGAACTACACGGAAAGCATTCTGAGAAACTTCTTTGTGATGTTTGCATTCAACTCACAGGATTTGCACCTTGCTTTCATAGTTCAGCTTTCAAACACTCTTTTTGTAGAATCTGCAAGTGGATATTTGGACCACTTTGTGGCCTTCCTTCGAAAAGGGTATATCTTCACATCAAACCTAGACAGAAGCATTCTCAGAATGTTTCCTGCGATGACTGCATTCAACACACAGAGGTTAACAATCCTGCTGATGGAGCAGTTTTGAAACTCTCTTTCTTTGGATTCTGCAAGTGGATATGTGGACCTCTGTGAAGATTTCGTTGGAAACGGTTTCATCTTCACAGAAAAACTAAACAGGAGCATTCTCAGAAACTGCTTTGTGATGTTTGTGTTCCACTTCAAGAATTGAACTTTCCTCTTGACAGAGCAGCTCTGAAACCCTCTTTTTCTAGAATCTGCAAGTGGACATTTGGAGGGCTTTGAGGCCTGTGGTGGAAAAGGAAAATCTTCACATAAAAACTAGATGGAAGCATTCTCAGAAACTACTTTGTGATGATTGCATTCGACTCACAGAGTTGAACATTACTATAGATAGAGCAGGTTGTAAACAATGTTTTTGTACAATCTGCGATTGGAAATTTGGACTGCTTTGAGGCCTACTGTAGTAAAGGAAATAACTTCATCTAAAAACCAAACGGAAGCATTCACAGACAATTCTTAGTGATCATTGGATTGAGCTAACAGAGCTGAACATTCCTTTAGATGGAGCAGTTTCCAAACACACTTTCTGCAGAATCTGCAAGTGGATATTTGGACTTCTCTGAGGATTTCGTTGGAAACGGGATAAACTTCCCAGAACTACACGGAAGCATTGTGAGAATCATCTTTCTGATGTTTGCATTCAACTCACAGAGTTGAACCTTGCTTTCATAGTTCAGCTTTCAAACACTCTTTTTGTAGAATCTGCAAGTGGATATTTGGACCACTTTGTGGCCTTCCTTTGAAACGGGTACATCTTCACATCAAACCTAGACAGAAGCATTCTCAGAATGTTTCCTGTGATGACTGCATTCAACTCACAGAGGTGAACAATCCTGCTGATGGAGCAGTTTTGAAACTCTCTTTCTTTGGATTCTGCAAGTGGATATGTGGACCTCTGTGAAGATTTCGTTGGAAACGGGTTCATCTTCACAGAAAAACTAAACAGGAGCATTCTCAGAAACTGCTTTGTGATGTTTGTGTTCCACATCAAGAATTGAACTTTCCTCTTGACAGAGCAGCTCTGAAACCCTCTTTTTCTAGAATCTGCAAGTGGACATTTGGAGGGCTTTGAGGCCTGTGGTGCAAAAGGAAAATCTTCACATAAAAACTAGATGGAAGCATTCTCAGAAACTACTTTGTGATGATTGCATTCGACTCACAGAGTTGAACATTCCTATAGATAGAGCAGGTTGTAAACAATCTTTTTGTAGAATCTGCGATTGGAGATTTGGACTGCTTTGAGGCCTACTGTAGTAAAGGAAATAACTTCATCTAAAAACCAAACGGAAGCATTCACAGACAATTCTTAGTGATCATTGGATTGAACTAACAGAGCTGAATATTCCTTGAGACGGAGCAGTTTCCAAACACACTTTCTGTAGAATCTGCAAGTGGATATTTGGACTTCTCTGAGGATTTCGTTGGAAACGGGATAATCTTCCCAGAACTACACGGAAGCATTCTGAGAAACTTCTTTGTGATGTTTGCATTCAACTCACAGAGTTGAACCTTGCTTTCATAGTTCAGCTTTCAAACACTCTTTTTGTAGAATCTGCAAGTGGATATTTGGACCACTTTGTGGCCTTCCTTCGAAACGGGTATATCTTCACATCAAACCTAGACAGAAGCCTGCTCAGAATGTTTCCTGTGATGACTGCATTCAACTCACAGAGGTGAACAATCCTGCTGATGGAGCAGTTTTGAAACTCTCTTTCTTTGGATTCTGCAAGTGGATATGTGGACCTCTGTGAAGATTTCGTTGGAAACGGGTTCATCTTCACAGAAAAACTAAACAGAAGCATTCTCAGAAACTGCTTTGTGATGTTTGTGTTCCACTTCAGGAATTGAACTTTCCTCTTGACAGAGCAGCTCTGAAACCCTCTTTTTCTAGAATCTGCAAGTGGACATTTGGAGGGCTTTGAGGCCTGTGGTGGAAAAGGAAAATCTTCACATAAAAACTAGATGGAAGCATTCTCAGAAACTACTTTGTGATGATTGCATTCGACTCACAGAGTTGAACATTCATATAGATAGAGCAGGATGTAAACAATCTTTTTGTAGAATCTGCGATTGGAGATTTCGACTTCTTTGAGGCCTACTGTAGTAAAGGAAATAACTTCATCTAAAAACCAAACGGAAGCATTCACAGACAATTCTTAGTGATCATTGGATTGAACTAACAGAGCTGAACATTCCTTTAGATGGAGCAGTTTCCAAACACACTTTCTGTAGAATCTGCCAGTGGATATTTGGACTTCTCTGAGGATTTCGTTGGAAACGGGATAAAATTCCCAGAACTACACGGAAGCATTCTGAGAAACTTCTTTGTGATATTTGCATTCAACTCAGAGAGTTGAGCCTTGCTTTCATAGTTCAGCTTTCAAACACTCTTTTTGTAGAATCTGCAAGTGGATATTTGGACCACTTTGTGGCCTTCCTTCGAAACGGGTATATCTTCACATCAAACCTAGACAGAAGCATTCTCAGAATGTTTCCTCTGATGACTGCATTCAAGTCACAGAGGCGAACAATCCTGTTGATGGAGCAGTTTTGAAACTCTCTTTCTTTGGATTCTGCAAGTGGATATGTGGACCTCTGTGAAGATTTCGTTGGAAACGGGTTCATCTTCACAGAAAAACTAAACAGAAGCATTCTCAGAAACTGCTTTGTGATGTTTGTGTTCCACTTCAAGAATTGAACTTTCCTCTTGACAGAGCAGCTCTGCAACCCTCTTTTTCTAGAAACTGCAAGTGGACATTTGGAGGGCTTAGAGGCCTGTGGTGGAAAAGGAAAATCTTCACATAAAAACTAGATGGAAGCATTCTCAGAAACTACTTTGTGATGATTGCATTCGACTCACAGAGTTGAACATTCCTATAGATAGAGCAGGTTGTAAACAATCTTTTTGTAGAATCTGCGATTGGAGATTTGGACTGCTTTGAGGCCTACTGTAGTAAAGGAAATAACTTCATCTAAAAACCAAACGGAAGCATTCACAGACAATTCTTAGTGATCATTGCATTGAACTAACAGAGCTGAACATTCCTTTAGATGGAGCAGTTTCCAAACCCACTTTCTGTAGAATCTGCAAGTGGATATTTGGACTTCTCTGAGGATTTCGTTGGAAACGGGATATACTTCCCAGAACTACACGGAAGCATTCTGAGAAACTTCTTTGGATGTTTGCATTCAACTCACAGAGTTGAACCTTGCTTTCATAGTTCAGCTTTCAAACACTCTTTTTGTAGAATCTGCAAGTGGATGTTTGGACCACTTTGTGGCCTTCCTTCGAAACGGCTATATCTTCACTTCAAACCTAGACAGAAGCATTCTCAGAATGTTTTCCTGTGATGACTGCATTCAACTCACAGAGGTGAACAATCCTGTTGATGGAGCAGTTTTGAAACTCTCTTTCTTTGGATTCTGCAGGTGGATATGTGGACCTCTGTGAAGATTTCGTTGGAAACGGGTTCATCTTCACAGAAAAACTAAACAGGAACATTCTCAGAAACTGCTTTGTGATGTTTGTGTTCCACTTCAAGAATTGAACTTTCCTCTTGACAGAGCAGCTCTGAAACCCTCTTTTTCTAGAATCTGCAAGTGGACATTTGGAGGGCTTTGAGGCCTGTGGTGGAAAAGGAAAATCTTCACATAAAAACTAGATGGAAGCATTCTCAGAAACTACTTTGTGATGATTGCATTCGACTCACAGAGTTGAACATTCCTATAGATAGAGCAGGTTGTAAACAATCTTTTTGTAGAATCTGCGATTGGAGATTTGGACTGCTTTGAGGCCTACTGTAGTAAAGGAAATAACTTCATCTAAAAACCAAAATGGAAGCATTCACAGACAATTCTTAGTGATCATTGCATTGAACTAACAGAGCTGAACATTCCTTTAGATGGAGCAGTTTCCAAACACACTTTCTGTAGAATCTGCAAGTGGATATGTGGACTTCTCTGAGGATTTCGTTGGAAACGGGATAAACTTACCCAGAACTACACGGAAGCATTCTGAGAAACTTCTTTGTGAAGTTTGCATTCAACACACAGAGTTGAACCTTGCTTTCATAGTTCAGCTTTCAAACACTCTTTTTGTAGAATCTGCAAGTGGATATTTGGACCATTTGTGGTCTTCCTTCGAAACGGGTATATCTTCACATCAAACCTAGACAGAAGCATTCTCAGAATGTTTCCTGTGATGACTGCATTCAACTCACAGAGGTGAACAATCCTGCTGATGGAGCAGTTTTGAAACTCTCCTTCTTTGGATTCTGCAAGTGGATATGTGGACCTCTGTGAAGATTTCGTTGGAAACGGGTTCATCTTCACAGAAAAACTAAACAGAAGCATTCTCAGAAACTGCTTTGTGATGTTTGTGTTCCACTTCAAGAATTGAACTTTCCTCTTGACAGAGCAGCTCTGAAACCCTCTTTTTCTAGAATCTGCAAGTGGACATTTGGAGGGCTTTGAGGCATGTGGTGGAAAAGGAAAATATTCACATAAAAACTAGATGGAAGCATTCTCAGAAACTACTTTGTGATGATTGCATTCGACTCACAGAGTTGAACATTCCTACAGATAGAGCAGGTTGTAAACAATCTTTTTGTAGAATCTGCGATTGGAGATTTGGACTGCTTTGAGGCCTACTGTAGTAACGAAATAACTTCATCTAAAAACCAAACGGAAGCATTCACAGACAATTCTTAGTGATCATTGCATTGAACTGACAGAGCTGAACATTCCTTTAGATGGAGCAGTTTCCAAACACACTTTCTGTAGAATCTGCAAGTGGATATTTGGACTTCTCTGAGGATTTCGTTGGAAACGGGATAAACTTCCCAGAACTACACGGAAGCATTGTGAGAAACTTCTTTGTGATGTTTGCATTCAACTCACAGAGTTGAACCTTGCTTTCATAGTTCAGCTTTCAAACACTCTTTTTGTAGAATCTGCAAGTGGATATTTGGACCACTTTGTGGCCTTCCTTCGAAACGGGTATATCTTCACATCAAACCTAGACAGAAGCATTCTCAGAATGTTTCCTGTGATGACTGCATTCAACTCACAGAGGTGAACAATCCTGCTGATGGAGTAGTTTTGAAACTCTCTTTCTTTGGATTCTGCAAGTGGATATGTGGACCTCTGTGAAGATTTCGTTGGAAACGGGTTCATCTTCACAGAAAAACTAAACAGAAACATTCTCAGAAACTGCTTTGTGATGTTTGTGTTCCACTTCAAGAATTGAACTTTCCTCTTGACAGAGCAGCTCTGAAACCCTCTTTTTCTAGAATCTGCAAGTGGACATTTGGAGGGCTTTGAGGCCTGTGGTGGAAAAGGAAAATCTTCACATAAAAACTAGATGGAAGCATTCTCAGAAACTACTTTGTGATGATTGCATTCGACTCACAGAGTTGAACATTCCTATAGATAGAGCAGGTTGTAAACAATCTTTTTGTAGAATCTGCGATTGGAGATTTGGACTGCTTTGAGGCCTACTGTAGTAAAGGAAATAACTTCATCTAAAAACCAAACGGAAGCATTCACAGACAATTCTTAGTGATCATTGGATTGAACTAACAGAGCTGAACATTCCTTTAGATGGAGCAGTTTCCAAACACACTTTCTGTAGAATCTGCAAGTGGATATTTGGACCTCTCTGAGGATTTCGTTGGAAACGGGATAAACTTCCCAGAACTACACGGAAGCATTCTGAGAAACTTCTTTGTGATGTTTGCATTCAACTCACAGAGTTGAACCTTGCTTTCATAGTTCAGCTTTCAAACACTCTTTTTGTAGAATCTGCAAGTGGATATTTGGACCACTTTGTGGCCTTGCTTCGAAACGGGTATATCTTCACATCAAACTTAGACAGAAGCATTCTCAGAATGTTTCCTGTGATGACTGCATTCAACTCACAGAGGTGAACAATCCTGTTGATGGAGCAGTTTTGAAACTCTCTTTCTTTGGATTCTGCAAGTTGATATGTGGAACTCTGTGAAGATTTCGTTGGAAACGGGTTCATCTTCACAGAAAAACTAAACAGAAGCATTCTCAGAAACTGCTTTGTGATGTCTGTGTTCCACTTCAAGAATTGAACTTTCCTCTTGACAGAGCAGCTCTGAAACCCTCTTTTTCTAGAGTCTGCAAGTGGACATTTTTAGGGCTTTGAGGCCTGTGGTGGAAAAGGAAAATCTTCACATAAAAACTAGATGGAAGCATTCTCAGAAACTACTTTGGGATGATTGCATTCGACTCACAGAGTTGAACATTCCTATAGATAGAGCAGGTTGTAAACAATCTTTTTGTAGAATCTGCGATTGGAGATTTGGACTGCTTTGAGGCCTACTGTAGTAAAGGAAATAACTTCATCTAAAAACCAAACGGAAGCATTCACAGACAATTCTTAGTGATCATTTGATTGAACTAACAGAGCTGAACATTCCTTTAGATGGAGCAGTTCCCAAACACACTTTCTGTAGAATCTGCAAGTGGATATTTGGACTTCTCTGAGGATTTCGTTGGAAACGGGATAAACTTCCCAGAACTACAGGGAAGCATTCTGAGAAAATTCTTTGTGATGTTTGCATTCAACTCACAGTGTTGAACCTTGCTTTCATAGTTCAGCTTTCAAACACTCTTTTTGTAGGATCTGCAAGTGGATATTTGGACCACTTTGTGGCCTTCCTTCGAAACGGGTATATCTAAACATCAAACCTAGACAGAAGCATTCTCAGAATGTTTCCTGTGATGACTGCATTCAACTCACAGAGGTGAACAATCCTGCTGATGGAGCAGTTTTGAAACTCTCTTTCTTTGGATTCTGCAAGTGGATATGTGGACCTCTGTGAAGATTTCGTTGGAAACGGGTTCATCTTCACAGAAAAACTAAACAGAAGCATTCTCAGAAACTGCTTTGTGATGTTTGTGTTCCACTTCAAGAATTGAACTTTCCTCTTGACAGAGCAGCTCTGAAACCCTCTTTTTCTAGAATCTGCAAATGGACATTTGGAGCGCTTTGAGGCCTGTGGTGCAAAAGGAAAATCTTCACATAAAAACTAGATGGAAGCATTCTCAGAAACTCCTTTGTGATGATTGCATTCGACTCACAGAGTTGAACATTCCTATAGATAGAGCAGGTTGTAAACAATCTTTTTGTAGAATCTGCGACTGGAGATTTGGACTGCTTTGAGGCCTACTGTAGTAAAGGAAATAACTTCATCTAAAAACCAAACGGAAGCATTCACAGCACAATTCTTAGTGATCATTGGATTGAACTAACAGAGCTGAACATTCCTTTAGATGGAGCAGTTGCCAAACCCACTTTCTGTAGAATCTGCAAGTGGATATTTGGACTTCTCTGAGGATTTCGTTGGAAACGGGATAAACTTCCCAGAACTACACGGAAACATTGTGAGAAACTTCTTTGTGATGTTTGCATTCAACTCACAGAGTTGAACCTTGCTTTCATAGTTCAGCTTTCAAACACTCTTTTTGTAGAATCTGCAAGTGGATATTTGGACCACTTTGTGGCCTTCCTTCGAAACGGGTATATCTTCACATCAAATCTAGACAGAAGCATTCTCAGAATGTTTCCTGTGATGACTGCATTCAACTCACAGAGGTGAACAATCCTGCTGATGGAGCAGTTTTGAAACTCTCTTTCTTTGGATTCTGCAAGTGGATATGTGGACCTCTGTGAAGATTTCGTTGGAAACGGGTTCATCTTCACAGAAAAACTAAACAGGAGCATTCTCAGAAACTGCTTTGTGATGTTTGTGTTCCACTTCAGGAATTGAACTTTCCTCTTGACAGAGCAGCTCTGAAACCCTCTTTTTCTAGAATCTGCAAGTGGACATTTGGAGGGCTTTGAGGCCTGTGGTGGAAAAGGAAAATCTTCAAATAAAAACTAGATGGAAGCATTCTCAGAAACTACTTTGTGATGATTGCATTCGACTCACAGAGTTGAACATTCCTATAGATAGAGCAGGTTGTAAACAATCTTTTTGTAGAATCTGCGATTGGAGATTTGGACTGCTTTGAGGCCTACTGTAGTAAAGGAAATAACTTCATCTAAAAACCAAACGGAAGCATTCACAGACAATTCTTAGTGATCATTGGATTGAACTAACAGAGCTGAACATTCCTTTAGATGGCGCAGTTTCCAAACACACTTTCTGTAGAATCTGCAAGTGGATATTTGGACTTCTCTGAGGATTTCGTTGGAAACGGGATAAACTTCCCAGAACTACACGGAAGCATTGTGAGAAACTTCTTTGTGATGTTTGCATTCAACTCACAGAGTTGAACCTTGCTTTCATAGTTCAGCTTTCAAACACTCTTTTTGTAGAATCTGCAAGTGGATATTTGGACCACTTTGTGGCCTTCCTTCGAAACGGGTATATCTTCACATCAAACCTAGACAGAAGCATTCTCAGAATGTTTCCTGTGATGACTGCATTCAACTCACAGAGGTGAACAATCCTGTTGATGGAGCAGTTTTGAAACTCTCTTTCTTTGGATTCTGCAAGTGGATATGAGGACCTCTGTGAAGATTTCGTTGGAAACGGGTTCATCTTCACAGAAAAAATAAACAGGAGCATTCTCAGAAACTGCTTTGTGATGTTTGTGTTCCACTTCAGGAATTGAACTTTCCTCTTGACAGAGCAGCTCTGAAACCCTCTTATTCTAGAATCTGCAAGTGGACATTTGGAGGGCTTTGAGGCCTGTGGTGGAAAAGGAAAATCTTCACATAAAAACTAGATGGAAGCATTCTCAGAAACTACTTTGTGATGATTGCATTCGACTCACAGAGTTGAACATTCCTATAGATAGAGCAGGTTGTAAACAATCTTTTTGTAGAATCTGCGATTGGAGATTTGGACTGCTTTGAGGCCTACTGTAGTAAAGGAAATAACTTCATCTAAAAACCAAACGGAAGCATTCACAGAAAATTCTTAGTGATCATTGGATTGAACTAACAGAGCTGAACATTCCTTTAGATGGAGTAGTTTCCAAACACACTTTCTGTAGAATCTGCAAGTGGATATTTGGACTTCTATGAGGATTTCGTTGAAAACGGGATAAACTTCCCAGAACTACACGGAAGCATTGTGAGAAACTTCTTTGTGATGTTTGCATTCAACTCACAGAGTTGAACCTTGCTTTCATAGTTCAGCTTTCAAACACTCTTTTTGTGGAATCTGCAAGTGGATATTTGGACCACTTTGTGGCCTTCCTTCGAAACGGGTATATCTTCACATCAAACCTAGACAGAAGCATTCTCAGAATGTTTCCTGTGATGACTGCATTCAACTCACAGAGGTGAACAATCCTGCTGATGGAGCAGTTTTGAAACTCTCTTTCTTTGGATTCTGCAAGTGGATATGTGGACCTCTGTGAAGATTTCGTTGGAAACGGGTTCATCTTCACAGAAAAACTAAACAGAAGCATTCTCAGAAACTGCTTTGTGATGTTTGTGTTCCACTTCAGGAATTGAACTTTCCTCTTGACTGAGCAGCTCTGAAACCCTCTTTTTCTAGAATCTGCAAGTGGACATTTGGAGGGCTTTGAGGCCTGTGGTGGAAAAGGAAAATCTTCACATAAAAACTAGATGGAAGCATTCTCAGAAACTACTTTGTGATGATTGCATTCGACTCACAGAGTTGAACATTCCTATAGATAGAGCAGGTTGTAAACAATCTTTTTGTAGAATCTGCGATTGGAGATTTGGACTGCTTTGAGGCCTACTGTAGTAAAGGAAATAACTTCATCTAAAAACCAAACGGAAGCATTCACAGAGAATTCTTAGTGATCATTGCATTGAACTAACAGAGCTGAACATTCCTTTAGATGGAGCAGTTTCCAAACACACTTTCTGTAGAATCTGCAAGTGGATATTTGGACTTCTCTGAGGATTTCGTTGGAAACGGGATAAACTTCCCAGAACTACACGGAAGCATGCTGAGAAACTTCTTTGTGATGTTTGCATTCAACTCACAGAGTTGAACCTTGGTTTCATAGTTCAGCTTTCAAACACTCTTTTTGTAGAATCTGCAAGTGGATATTTGGACCACTTTGTGGCCTTCCTTCGAAACGGGTATATCTTCACATCAAACCTAGACAGAAGCATTCTCAGAATGTTTCCTGTGATGACTGCATTCAACTCACAGAGGTGAACAATCCTGCTGATGGAGCAGTTTTGAAACTCTCCTTCTTTGGATTCTGCAAGTGAATATGTGGTCCTCTGTGAAGATTTCGTTGGAAACGGGTTCATCTTCACAGAAAAACTAAACAGAAGCATTCTCAGAAACTGCTTTGTGATGTTTGTGTTCCACTTCAGGAATTGAACTTTCCTCTTGACAGAGCAGCTCTGAAACCCTCTTATTCTAGAATCTGCAAGTGGACATTTGGAGGGCTTTGAGGCCTGTGGTGGAAAAGGAAAATCTTCACATAAAAACTAGATGGAAGCATTCTCAGAAACTACTTTGTGATGATTGCATTCGACTCACAGAGTTGAACATTCCTATAGATAGAGCAGGTTGTAAACAATCTTTTTGTAGAATCTGCGATTGGAGATTTGGACTGCTTTGAGGCCTACTGTAGTAAAGGAAATAACTTCATCTAAAAACCAAACGGAAGCATTCACAGACAATTCTTAGTGATCATTGGATTGAACTAACAGAGCTGAACATTCCTTTAGATGGAGCAGTTTCCAAACCCACTTTCTGTAGAATCTGCAAGGGGATATTTGGACTTCTCTGAGGATTTCGTTGGAAACGGGATAAACTTCCCAGAACTACACGGAAGCATTGTGAGAAACTTCTTTGTGATGTTTGCATTCAACTCACAGAGTTGAACCTTGCTTTCATAGTTCAGCTTTCAAGCACTCTTTTTGTAGAATCTGCAAGTGGATATTTGGACCACTTTGTGGCCTTCCTTCGAAACGGGTATATCTTCACATCAAACCTAGACAGAAGCATTCTCAGAATGTTTCCTGTGATGACTGCATTCAACTCACAGAGGTGAACAATCCTGTTCATGGAGCACTTTTGAAACTCTCTTTCTTTGGATTCTGCAAGTTGATATGTGGACCTCTGTGAAGATTTCGTTGGAAACGGGTTCAACTTCACAGAAAAACTAAACAGAAGCATTCTCAGAAACTGCTTTGTGATGTTTGTGTTCCACTTCAAGAATTGAACTTTCCTCTTGACAGAGCAGCTCTGAAACCCTCTTTTTCTAGAATCTGCAAGTGGACATTTGGAGGGCTTTGAGGCCTGTGGTGGAAAAGGAAAATCTTCACATAAAAACTAGATGGAAGCATTCTCAGAAACTACTTTGTGATGATTGCATTCGACTCACAGAGTTGAACATTCCTATAGATAGAGCAGGTTGTAAACAATCTTTTTGTAGAATCTGCGATTGGAGATTTGGACTGCTTTGAGGCCTACTGTAGTAAAGGAAATAACTTCATCTAAAAACCAAACGGAAGCATTCACAGACAATTCTTAGTGATCATTGCATTGAACTAACAGAGCTGAACATTCCTTTAGATGGAGCAGTTTCCAAACACACTTTCTGTAGAATCTGCAAGTGGATATTTGGACTTCTCTGAGGATTTCGTTGGAAACGGGATAAACTTCCCAGAACTACACGGAAGCATTCTGAGAAACTTCTTTGTGAAGTTTGCATTCAACTCACAGAGTTGAACCTTGCTTTCATAGTTCAGCTTTCAAACACTCTTTTTGTAGAATCTGCAAGTGGATATTTGGACCACTTTGTGGCCTTCCTTCGAAACGCGTATATCTTCACATCAAACCTAGACAGAAGCATTCTCAGAATGTTTCCTGTGATGACTGCATTCCACTCACAGAGGTGAACAATCCTGTTGATGGAGCAGTTTTGAATCTCTCTTCCTTTGGATTCTGCAAGTGGATATGTGGACCTCTGTGAAGATTTCGTTGGAAACGGGTTCATTTTCACAGAAAAACTAAACAGAAGCATTCTCAGAAACTGCTTTGTGATGTTTGTGTTCCACTTCAAGAATTGAACTTTCCTCTTGACAGAGCAGCTCTGAAACCCTCTTTTTCTAGAATCTGCAAGTGGACATTTGGAGGGCTTTGAGGCCTGTGGTGGAAAAGGAAAATCTTCCCATAAAAACTAGATGGAAGCATTCTCAGAAACTACTTTGTGATGATTGCATTCGACTCACAGAGTTGAACATTCCTATAGATAGAGCAGGTTGTAAACAATCTTTTTGTAGAATCTGCGATTGGAGATTTGGACTGCTTTGAGGCCTACTGTAGTAAAGGAAATAACTTCATCTAAAAACCAAACGGAAGCATTCACAGACAATTCTTAGTGATCATTGGATTGAACTAACAGAGCTGAACATTCCTTCAGATGGAGCAGTTTCCAAACACACTTTCTGTAGAATCTGCAAGTGGATATTTGGACCTCTCTGAGGATTTCGTTGGAAAGGAGCTAAACTTCCCAGGACTACACGGAAGCATTCTGAGAAACTTCTTTGTGATGTTTGCATTCAACTCACAGAGTTGAACCTTGCTTTCATAGTTCAGCTTTCAAACACTCTTTTTGTAGAATCTGCAAGTGGATATTTGGACCACTTTGTGGCCTTCCTTCGAAACGGGTATATCTTCACATCAAACCTAGACAGAAGCATTCTCAGAATGTTTCCTGTGATGACTGCATTCAACTCACAGAGGTGAACAATGCTGTTGATGGAGCACTTTTGAAACTCTCTTTCTTTGGATTCTGCAAGTTGATATGTGGACCTCTGTGAAGATTTCGTTGGAAACGGGTTCATCTTCACAGAAAAACTAAACAGAAGCATTCTCAGAAACTGCTTTGTGATGTTTGTGTTCCACTTCAGGAATTCAACTTTCCTCTTGACAGAGCAGCTCTGAAACCCTCTTTTTATAGCATCTGCAAGTGGACATTTGGAGGGCTTTGAGGCCTGTGGTGGAAAAGGAAAATCTTCACATAAAAACTAGATGGAAGCATTCTCAGAAACTACTTTGTGATGATTGCATTCGACTCACAGAGTTGAACATTCCTATAGATAGAGCAGGTTGTAAACAATCTTTTTGTAGAATCTGCGATTGGAGATTTGGACTGCTTTGAGGCCTACTGTAGTAAAGGAAATAACTTCATCTAAAAACCAAAAGGAAGCATTCACAGACAATTCTTAGTGATCATTGCATTGAACCAACAGAGCTGAACATTCTTTTAGATGGCGCAGTTTCCAAACACACTTTCTGTAGAATCTGCAAGTGGATATTTGGACCTCTCTGAGGATTTCGTTGGAAACGGGATAAACTTCCCAGAACTACACGGAAGCATTCTGAGAAACTTCTTTGTGATGTTTGCATTCAACTCACAGAGTTGAACCTTGCTTTCATAGTTCAGCTTTCAAACACTCTTTTTGTAGAATCTGCAAGTGGATATTTGGACCACTTTGTGGCCTTCCTTCGAAACGGGTATATCTTCACATCAAACCTAGACAGAAGCATTCTCAGAATGTTTCCTGTGATGACTGCATTCAACTCACAGAGGTGGACAATCCTGCTGATGGAGCAGTTTTGAAACTCTCTTTCTTTGGATTCTGCAAGTGGATATGTGGACCTCTGTGAAGATTTCGTTGGAAACGGGTTCATCTTCACCGAAAAACTAAACAGGAGCATTCTCAGAAACTGCTTTGTGATGTTTGTGTTCCACTTCAGGAATTGAACTTTCCTCTTGACAGAGCAGCTCTGAAACCCTCTTTTTCTAGAATCTGCAAGTGGACATTTGCAGGGCTTTGAGGCCTGTGGTGGAAAAGGAAAATCTTCACATAAGAACTAGATGGAAGCATTCTCAGAAACTACTTTGTGATGATTGCATTCGACTCACAGAGTTGAACATTCCTATAGATAGAGCAGGTTGTAAACAATGTTTTTGTAGAATCTGCGATTGGAGATTTGGACTGCTTTGAGGCCTACTGTAGTAAAGGAAATAACTTCATCTAAAAACCAAACGGAAGCATTCACAGACAATTCTTAGTGATCATTGGATTGAACTAACAGAGCTGAACATTCCTTTAGATGGAGCAGTTTCCAAACACACTTTCTGTAGAATCTGCAAGTGGATATTTGGACCTCTCTGAGGATTTCGTTGGAAACGGGATAAACTTCCCAGAACTACACGGAAGCATTCTGAGAAACTTCTTTGTGATGTTTGCATTCAACTCACAGAGGTGAACCTTGCTTTCATAGTTCAGCTTTCAAACACTCTTTTTGTAGAATCTGCAAGTGGATATTTGGACCACTTTGTGGCCTTCCTTCGAAACGGGTATATCTTCACATCAAACCTAGACA
Source organism: Homo sapiens (assembly GCF_000001405.40). Classification (NCBI taxonomy): domain Eukaryota; kingdom Metazoa; phylum Chordata; class Mammalia; order Primates; family Hominidae; genus Homo; species Homo sapiens. The sequence goes on from NC_000011.10 coordinate 52,536,585, forward strand.
GAAGCATTCTCAGAATGTTTCCTGTGATGACTGCATTCAACTCACAGAGGTGAACAATCCTGCTGATGGAGCAGTTTTGAAACTCTCTTTCTTTGGATTCTGCAAGTGGATATGTGGACCTCTGTGAAGATTTCGTTGGAAACGGGTTCATCTTCACAGAAAAACTAAACAGAAGCATTCTCAGAAACTGCTTTGTGATGTTTGTGTTCCACTTCAGGAATTGAACTTTCCTCTTGACAGAGCAGCTCTGAAACCCTCTTATTCTAGAATCTGCAAGTGGACATTTGGAGGGCTTTGAGGCCTGTGGTGGAAAAGGAAAATCTTCACATAAAAACTAGATGGAAGCATTCTCAGAAAGTACTTTGTGATGATTGCATTCGACTCACAGAGTTGAACATTCCTATAGATAGAGCAGGTTGTAAACAATCTTTTTGTAGAATCTGCGATTGGAGATTTGGACTGCTTTGAGGCCTACTGTAGTAAAGGAAATAACTTCATCTAAAAACCAAACGGAAGCATTCACAGACAATTCTTAGTGATCATTGGATTGAACTAACAGAGCTGAACATTCCTTTAGATGGAGCAGTTTCCAAACACACTTTCTGTAGAATCTGCAAGTGGATATTTGGACCTCTCTGAGGATTTCGTTGGAAACGGGATAAACTTCCCAGAACTACACGGAAGCATTGTGAGAAACTTCTTTGTGATGTTTGCATTCAACTCACAGAGTTGAACCTTGCTTTCATAGTTCAGCTTTCAAACACTCTTTTTGTAGAATCTGCAAGTGGATATTTGGACCACTTTGTGGCCTTCCTTCGAAACGGGTATATCTTCACATCAAACCTAGACAGAAGCATTCTCAGAATGTTTCCTGTGATGACTGCATTCAACTCACAGAGGTGAACAATCCTGCTGATGGAGCAGTTTTGAAACTCTCTTTCTTTGGATTCTGCAAGTGGATATGTGGACCTCTGTGAAGATTTCGTTGGAAACGGGTTCATCTTCACAGAAAAACTAAACAGAAGCATTCTCAGAAACTGCTTTGTGATGTTTGTGTTCCACTTCAGGAATTGAACTTTCCTCTTGACAGAGCAGCTCTGAAACCCTCTTATTCTAGAATCTGCAAGTGGACATTTGGAGGGCTTTGAGGCCTGTGGTGGAAAAGGAAAATCTTCACATAAAAACTAGATGGAAGCATTCTCAGAAACTACTTTGTGATGATTGCATTCGACTCACAGAGTTGAACATTCCTATAGATAGAGCAGGTTGTAAACAATGTTTTTGTAGAATCTGCGATTGGAGATTTGGACTGCTTTGAGGCCTACTGTAGTAAAGGAAATAACTTCATCTAAAAACCAAACGGAAGCATTCACAGACAATTCTTAGTGATCATTGCATTGAACTAACAGAGCTGAACATTCCTTTAGATGGCGCAGTTTCCAAACACACTTTCTGTAGAATCTGCAAGTGGATATTTGGACCTCTCTGAGGATTTCTTTGGAAACGGGATAAACTTCCCAGAACTACACGGAAGCATTCTGGGAAACTTCTTTGTGATGTTTGCATTCAACTCACAGAGTTGAACCTTGCTTTCATAGTTCAGCTTTCAAACACTCTTTTTGTAGAATCTGCAAGTGGATATTTGGACCACTTTGTGGCCTTCCTTCGAAACGGGTATATCTTCACATCAAACATAGACAGAAGCATTCTCAGAATGTTTCCTGTGATGACTGCATTCAACTCACAGAGGTGAACAATCCTGTTGATGGAGCAGTTTTGAAACTCTCTTTCTTTGGATTCTGCAAGTGGATATGTGGACCTCTGTGAAGATTTCGTTGGAAACGGGTTCATCTTCACAGAAAAACTAAACAGAAGCATTCTCAGAAACTGCTTTGTGATGTTTGTGTTCCACTTCAAGAATTGAACTTTCCTCTTGACAGAGCAGCTCTGAAACCCTCTTTTTCTAGAATCTGCAAGTGGACATTTGGAGGGCTTTGAGGCCTGTGGTGGAAAAGGAAAATCTTCACATAAAAACTAGATGGAAGAATTCTCAGAAACTACTTTGTGATGATTGCATTCGACTCACAGAGTTGAACATTCCTATAGATAGAGCAGGTTGTAAACAATCTTTTTGTAGAATCTGCGATTGGAGATTTGGACTGCTTTGAGGCCTACTGTAGTAAAGGAAATAACTTCATCTAAAAACCAAACGGAAGCATTCACAGACAATTCTTAGTGATCATTGCATTGAACTAACAGAGCTGAACATTCCTTTAGATGGCGCAGTTTCCAAACACACTTTCTGTAGAATCTGCAAGTGGATATTTGGATCTCTCTGAGGATTTCGTTGGAAACGGGATAAACTTCCCAGAACTACACGGAAGCATTCTGAGAAACTTCTTTGTGATGTTTGCATTCAACTCACAGAGTTGAACCTTGCTTTCATATTTCAGCTTTCAAACACTCTTTTTGTAGAATCTGCAAGTGGATATTTGGACCACTTTGTGGCCTTCCTTCGAAACGGGTATATCTTCACATCAAACCTAGACAGAAGCATTCTCAGAATGTTTCCTGTGATGACTGCATTCAACTCACAGAGGTGAACAATCCTGCTGATGGAGCAGTTTTGAAACTCTCTTTCTTTGGATTCTGCAAGTGGATATGTGGACCTCTGTGAAGATTTCGTTGGAAACGGGTTCATCTTCACAGAAAAACTAAACAGAAGCATTCTCAGAAACTGCTTTGTGATGTTTGTGTTCCACTTCAGGAATTGAACTTTCCTCTTGACAGAGCAGCTCTGAAACCCTCTTATTCTAGAATCTGCAAGTGGACATTTGGAGGGCTTTGAGGCCTGTGGTGGAAAAGGAAAATCTTCACATAAAAACTAGATGGAAGCATTCTCAGAAACTACTTTGTGATGATTGCATTCGACTCACAGAGTTGAACATTCCTATAGATAGAGCAGGTTGTAAACAATCTTTTTGTAGAATCTGCGATTGGAGATTTGGACTGCTTTGAGGCCTACTGTAGTAAAGGAAATAACTTCATCTAAAAACCAAACGGAAGCATTCACAGACAATTCTTAGTGATCATTGGATTGAACTAACAGAGCTGAACATTCCTTTAGATGGAGCAGTTTCCAAACACACTTTCTGTAGAGTCTGCCACTGGATATTTGGACCTCTCTGAGGATTTCGTTGGAAACGGGCTAAACTTCCCAGAACTACACGGAAGCATTGTGAGAAACTTCTTTGTGATGTTTGCATTCAACTCACAGAGTTGAACCTTGCTTTCATAGTTCAGCTTTCAAACACTCTTTTTGTAGAATCTGCAAGTGGATATTTGGACCACATTGTGGCCTTCCTTCGAAACGGGTATATCTTCACATCAAACCTAGACAGAAGCATTCTCAGAATGTTTCCTGTGATGACTGCATTCAACTCACAGAGGTGAACAATCCTGTTTATGGAGCAGTTTTGAAACTCTCTTTCTTTGGATTCTGCAAGTTGATATGTCGACCTCTGTGAAGATTTCGTTGGAAACGGGTTCATCTTCAGAGAAAAACTAAACAGAAGCATTCTCAGAAACTGCTTTGTGATGTTTGTGTTCCACTTCAGGAATTGAACTTTCCTCTTGACAGAGCAGCTCTGAAACCCTCTTATTCTAGAATCTGCAAGTGGACATTTGGAGGGCTTTGAGGCCTGCGGTGGAAAAGGAAAATCTTCACATAAATACTAGATGGAAGCATTCTCAGAAACTACTTTGTGATGATTGCATTCGACTCACAGAGTTGAACATTCCTATAGATAGAGCAGGTTGTAAACAATCTTTTTGTAGAATCTGCGATTGGAGATTTGGACTGCTTTGAGGCCTACTGTAGTAAAGGAAATAACTTCATCTAAAAACCTAACGGAAACATTCACAGACAATTCTTAGTGATCATTGGATTGAACTAACAGAGCTGAACATTCCTTTAGATGGAGCAGTTTCCAAACACACTTTCTGTAGAATCTGCAAGTGGATATTTGGACTTCTCTGAGGATTTCGTTGGAAACGGGATAAACTTCCCAGAACTACACGGAAGCATTGTGAGAAACTTCTTTGTGATGTTTGCATTCAACTCACAGAGTTGAACCTTGCTTTCATAGTTCAGCTTTCAAACACTCTTTTTGTAGAATCTGCAAGTGGATATTTGGACCACTTTGTGGCCTTCCTTCGAAACGGGTATATCTTCACATCAAACCTAGACAGAAGCATTCTCAGAATGTTTCCTGTGATGACTGCATTCAACTCACAGAGGTGAACAATCCTGCTGATGGAGCAGTTTTGAAACTCTCTTTCTTTGGATTCTGCAAGTGGATATGTGGACCTCTGTGAAGATTTCGTTGGAAACGGGTTCATCTTCACAGAAAAACTAAACAGGAGCATTCTCAGAAACTGCTTTGTGATGTTTGTGTTCCACTTCAGGAATTGAACTTTCCTCTTGACAGAGCAGCTCTAAAACCCTCTTATTCTAGAATCTGCAAGTGGACATTTGGAGGGCTTTGAGGCCTGTGGTGGAAAAGGAAAATCTTCACATAAAAACTAGATGGAAGCATTCTCAGAAACTACTTTGTGATGATTGCATTCGACTCACAGAGTTGAACATTCCTATAGATAGAGCAGGTTGTAAACAATCTTTTTGTAGAATCTGCGATTGGAGATTTGGACTGCTTTGAGGCCTACTGTAGTAAAGGAAATAACTTCATCTAAAAACCAAACGGAAGCATTCACAGACAATTCTTAGTGATCATTGGATTGAACTAACAGAGCTGAACATTCCTTTAGATGGAGCAGTTTCCAAGCACACTTTCTGTAGAATCTGCAAGTGGATATTTGGACCTCTCTGAGGATTTCTTTGGAAACGGGATAAACTTCCCAGAACTACACGGAAGAATTGTGAGAAACTTCTTTGTGATGTTTGCATTCAACTCACAGAGTTGAACCTTGCTTTCATAGTTCAGCTTTCAAACACTCTTTTTGTAGAATCTGCAAGTGGATATTTGGACCACTTTGTGGCCTTCCTTCGAAACGGGTATATCTTCACATCAAACCTAGACAGAAGCATTCTCAGAATGTTTCCTGTGATGACTGCATTCAACTCACAGAGGTGAACAATCCTGCTGATGGAGCAGTTTTGAAACTCTCTTTCTTTGGATTCTGCAAGTGGATATGTGGACCTCTGTGAAGATTTCGTTGGAAACGGGTTCATCTTCACAGAAAAACTAAACAGGAGCATTCTCAGAAACTGCTTTGTGATGTTTGTGTTCCACTTCAGGAATTGAACTTTCCTCTTGAAACAGCAGCTCTGAAACCCTCTTTTTCTAGAATCTGCAAGTGGACATTTGGAGGGCTTTGAGGCCTGTGGTGGAAATGGAAAATCTTCACATAAAAACTAGATGGAAGCATTCTCAGAAACTACTTTGTGATGATTGCATTCGACTCACAGAGTTGAACATTCCTATAGATAGAGCAGGTTGTAAACAATCTTTTTGTAGAATCTGCGATTGGAGATTTGGACTGCTTTGAGGCCTACTGTAGTAAAGGAAATAACTTCATCTAAAAACCAAACGGAAAGCATTCACAGACAATTCTTAGTGATCATTGCATTGAACTAACAGAGCTGAACATTCCTTTAGATGGCGCAGTTTCCAAACACACATTCTGTAGAATCTGCAAGTGGATATTTGGACCTCTCTGAGGATTTCGTTGGAAACGGGCTAAACTTCCCAGAACTACACGGAAGCATTCTGAGAAACTTCTTTGTGATGTTTGCATTCAACTCACAGAGTTGAACCTTGCTTTCATAGTTCAGCTTTCAAACACTCTTTTTGTAGAATCTGCAAGTGGATATTTGGACCACTTTGTGGCCTTCCTTCGAAACGGGTATATCTTCACATCAAACCTAGACAGAAGCATTCTCAGAATGTTTCCTGTGATGACTGCATTCAACTCACAGAGGTGAACAATCCTGCTGATGGAGCAGTTTTGAAACTCTCTTTCTTTGGATTCTGCAAGTGGATATGTGGACCTCTGTGAAGATTTCGTTGGAAACGGGTTCATCTTCACAGAAAAACTAAACAGAAGCATTCTCAGAAACTGCTTTGTGATGTTTGTGTTCCACTTCAGGAATTGAACTTTCCTCTTGACAGAGCAGCTCTGAAACCCTCTTTTTCTAGAATCTGCAAGTGGACATTTGGAGGGCTTTGAGGCCTGTGGTGGAAAAGGAAAATCTTCACTTAAAAACTAGATGGAAGCATTCTCAGAAACTACTTTGTGATGATTGCATTCGACTCACAGAGTTGAACATTCCTATAGATAGAGCAGGTTGTAAACAATCTTTTTGTAGAATCTGCGATTCGAGATTTGGAATGCTTTGAGGCCTACTGCAGTAAAGGAAATAACTTCATCTAAAAACCAAACGGAAGCATTCACAGACAATTCTTAGTGATCATTGGATTGAACTAACAGAGCTGAACATTCCTTTAGATGGAGCAGTTTCCAAACACACTTTCTGCAGAATCTGCAAGTGGATATTTGGACTTCTCTGAGGATTTCGTTGGAAATGGGATAAACTTCCCAGAACTACACGGAAGCATTGTGAGAATCATATTTCTGATGTTTGCATTCAACTCACAGAGTTGAACCTTGCTTTCATAGTTCAGCTTTCAAACACTCTTTTTGTAGAATCTGCAAGTGGATATTTGGACCACTTTGTGGCCTTCCTTTGAAACGGGTACATCTTCACATCAAACCTAGACAGAAGCATTCTCAGAATGTTTCCTGTGATGACTGCATTCAACTCACAGAGGTGAACAATCCTGCTGATGGAGCAGTTTTGAAACTCTCTTTCTTTGGATTCTGCAAGTGGATATGTGGACCTCTGTGAAGATTTCGTTGGAAACGGGTTCATCTTCACAGAAAAACTAAACAGAAGCATTCTCAGAAACTGCTTTGTGATGTTTGTGTTCCACTTCAGGAATTGAACTTTCCTCTTGACAGAGCAGCTCTGAAACCCTCTTATTCTAGAATCTGCAAGTGGACATTTGGAGGGCTTTGAGGCCTGTGGTGGAAAAGGAAAATCTTCACATAAAAATTAGATGGAAGCATTCTCAGAAAGTACTTTGTGATGATTGCATTCGACTCACAGAGTTGAACATTCCTATAGATAGAGCAGGTTGTAAACAATCTTTTTGTAGAATCTGCGATTGGAGATTTGGACTGCTTTGAGGCCTACTGTAGTAAAGGAAATAACTTCATCTAAAAACCAAACGGAAGCATTCACAGACAATTCTTAGTGATCATTGGATTGAACTAACAGAGCTGAACATTCCTTTAGATGGAGCAGTTTCCAAACCCACTTTCTGTAGAATCTGCAAGTGGATATTTGGACTTCTCTGAGGATTTCGTTGGAAACGGGATAAACTTCCCAGAACTACACGGAAGCATTGTGAGAAACTTCTTTGTGATGCTTGCATTCAACTCACAGAGTTGAACCTTGCTTTAATAGTTCAGCTTTCAAACACTCTTTTTGTAGAATCTGCAAGTGGATATTTGGACCACTTTGTGGCCTTCCTTCGAAACGGGTATATCTTCACATCAAACCCAGACAGAAGCATTCTCAGAATGTTTCCTGTGATGACTGCATTCAACTCACAGAGGTGAACAATCCTGCTGATGGAGCAGTTTTGAAACTCCCTTTCTTTGGATTCTGCAAGTGGATATGTGGACCTCTGTGAAGATTTCGTTGGAAACGGGTTCATCTTCACAGAAAAACTAAACAGAAGCATTCTCAGAAACTGCTTTGTGATGTTTGTGTTCCACTTCAGGAATTGAACTTTCCTCTTGACAGAGCAGCTCTGAAACCCTCTTATTCTAGAATCTGCAAGTGGACATTTGGAGGGCTTTGAGGCCTGTGGTGGAAAAGGAAAATCTTCACATAAAAACTAGATGGAAGCATTCTCAGAAACTACTTTGTGATGATGGCTTTCGACTCACAGAGTTGAACATTCCTATAGATAGAGCAGGTTGTAAACAATCTTTTTGTAGAATCTGCGATTGGAGATTTGGACTGCTTTGAGGCCTACTGTAGTAAAGGAAATAACTTCATCTAAAAACCAAACGGAAGCATTCACAGACAATTCTTAGTGATCATTGCATTGAACTAACAGAGCTGAACATTCCTTTAGATGGCGCAGTTTCCAAACACACTTTCTGTAGAATCTGCAAGTGGATATTTGGACCTCTCTGAGGATTTCGTTGGAAACGGGATAAACTTCCCAGAACTACACGGAAGCATTCTGAGAAACTTCTTTGTGATGTTTGCATTCAACTCACAGAGTTGAACCTTGCTTTCATAGTTCAGCTTTCAAACACTCTTTTTGTAGAATCTGCAAGTGGATATTTGGACCACTTTGTGGCCTTCCTTCGAAACGGGTATATCTTCACATCAACCCTAGACAGAAGCATTCTCAGAATGTTTCCTGTGATGACTGCATTCAACTCACAGAGGTGAACAATCCTGCTGATGGAGCAGTTTTGAAACTCTCTTTCTTTGGATTCTGCAAGTGGATATGTGGACCTCTGTGAAGATTTCGTTGGAAACGGGTTCATCTTCACAGAAAAACTAAACAGAAGCATTCTCAGAAACTGCTTTGTGATGTTTGTGTTCCACTTCAGGAATTGAACTTTCCTCTTGACAGAGCAGCTCTGAAACCCTCTTATTCTAGAATCTGCAAGTGGACATTTGGAGGGCTTTGAGGCCTGTGGTGGAAAAGGAAAATCTTCACATAAAAACTAGATGGAAGCGTTCTCAGAAACTACTTTGTGATGATTGCATTCGACTCACAGAGTTAACATTCCTATAGATAGAGCAGGTTGTAAACAATCTTTTTGTAGAATCTGCGATTGGAGATTTGGACTGCTTTGAGGCCTACTGTAGTAAAGGAAATAACTTCATCTAAAAACCAAACGGAAGCATTCACAGACAATTCATAGTGATCATTGCATTGAACTAACAGAGCTGAACATTCCTTTAGATGGCGCAGTTTCCAAACACAGTTTCTGTAGAATCTGCAAGTGGATATTTGGACCTCTCTGAGGATTTCGTTGGAAACGGGATAAACTTCCCAGAACTACACGGAAGCATTGTGAGAAACTTCTTTGTGATGTTTGCATTCAACTCACAGAGTTGAACCTTGCTTTCATAGTTCAGCTTTCAAACACTCTTTTTGTAGAATCTGCAAGTGGATATTTGGACCACTTTGTGGCCTTCCTTCGAAACGGGTATATCTTCACATCAAACCTAGACAGAAGCATTCTCAGAATGTTTCATGTGATGACTGCATTCAACTCACAGAGGTGAACAATCCTGTTGATGGAGCAGTTTTGAATCTCTCTTTCTTTGGATTCTGCAAGTGGATATGTGGACCTCTGTGAAGATTTCGTTGGAAAAGGGTTCATCTTCACAGAAAAACTAAACAGAAGCATTCTCAGAAACTGCTTTGTGATGTTTGTGTTCCACTTCAGGAATTGAACTTTCCTCTTGACAGAGCAGCTCTAAAACCCTCTTATTCTAGAATCTGCAAGTGGACATTTGGAGGGCTTTGAGGCCTGTGGTGGAAAAGGAAAATCTTCACATAAAAACTAGATGGAAGCATTCTCAGAAACTACTTTGTGATGATTGCATTCGACTCACAGAGTTGAACATTCCTATAGATAGAGCAGGTTGTAAACAATCTTTTTGTAGAATCTGCGATTGGAGATTTGGACTGCTTTGAGGCCTACTGTAGTAAAGGAAATAACTTCATCTAAAAACCAAACGGAAGCATTCACAGACAATTCTTAGTGATCATTGCATTGAACTAACAGAGCTGAACATTCCTTTAGATGGCGCAGTTTCCAAACACACTTTCTGTAGAATCTGCAAGTGGATATTTGGACTTCTCTGAGGATTTCGTTGGAAACGGGATAAACTTCCCAGAACTACACGGAAGCATTGTGAGAAACTTCTTTGTGATGTTTGCATTCAACTCACAGAGTTGAACCTTGCTTTCATAGTTCAGCTTTCAAACACTCTTTTTGTAGAACCTGCAAGTGGATATTTGGACCACTTTGTGGCCTTCCTTCGAAACGGGTATATCTTCACATCAAACCTAGACAGAAGCATTCTCAGAATGTTTCCTGTGATGACTGCATTCAACTCACAGAGGTGAACAATCCTGTTGATGGAGCAGTTTTGAAACTCTCTTTCTTTGGATTCTGCAAGTTGATATGTGGACCTCTGTGAAGATCTCGTTGGAAAAGGGTTCATCTTCACAGAAAAACTAAACAGAAACATTCTCAGAAACTGCTTTGTGATGTTTGTGTTCCACTTCAGGAAATTGAACTTTCCTCTTGACAGAGCAGCTCTGAAACCCTCTTATTCTAGAATCTGCAAGTGGACATTTGGAGGGCTTTGAGGCCTGTGGTGGAAAAGGAAAATCTTCACATAAAAACTAGATGGAAGCATTCTCAGAAACTACTTTGTGATGATTGCATTCGACTCACAGAGTTGAACATTCCTATAGATAGAGCAGGTTGTAAACAATCTTTTTGTAGAATCTGCGATTGGAGATTTGGACTGCTTTGAGGCCTACTGTAGTAAAGGAAATAACTTCATCTAAAAACCAAACGGAAGCATTCACAGACAATTCTTAGTGATCATTGCATTGAACTAACAGAGCTGAACATTCCTTTAGATGGCGCAGTTTCCAAACACACTTTCTTTAGAATCTGCAAGTGGATATTTGGACCTCTCTGAGGATTTCGTTGGAAACGGGATAAACTTCCCAGAACTACACGGAAGCATTCTGAGAAACTTCTTTGTGATGTTTGCATTCAACTAACAGAGTTGAACCTTGCTTTCATAGTTCAGCTTTCAAACACTCTTTTTGTAGAATCTGCAAGTGGATATTTGGACCACTTTGTGGCCTTCCTTCGAAACGGGTATATCTTCACATCAAACCTAGACAGAAGCATTCTCAGAATGTTTCCTGTGATGACTGCATTCAACTCACAGAGGTGAACAATCCTGCTGATGGAGCAGTTTTGAAACTCTCTTTCTTTGGATTCTGCAAGTGGATATGTGGACCTCTGTGAAGATTTCGTTGGAAACGGGTTCATCTTCACAGAAAAATTAACAGGAGCGTTCTCAGAAACTGCTTTGTGATGTTTGTGTTCCACTTCAAGAATTGAACTTTCCTCTTGACAGAGCAGCTCTGAAACCCTCTTTTTCTAGAGTCTGCAAGTGGACATTTGGAGGGCTTTGAGGCCTGTGGTGGAAAAGGAAAATCTTCACATAAAAACTAGATGGAAGCATTCTCAGAAACTACTTTGTGATGATTGCATTCGACTCACAGAGTTGAACATTCCTATAGATAGAGCAGGTTGTAAACAATTTTTTTGTAGAATCTGCGATTGGAGATTTGGACTGCTTTGAGGCCTACTGTAGTAAAGGAAATAACTTCATCTAAAAACCAAACGGAAGCATTCACAGACAATTCTTAGTGATCATTGGATTGTTCTAACACAGCTGAACATTCCTTTAGATGGAGCAGTTTCCAAACACACTTTCTGTAGAATCTGCAAGTGGATATTTGGACCTCTCTGAGGATTTCGTTGGAAACGGTCTAAACTTCCCAGAACTACACGGAAGTATTCTGAGAAACTTCTTTGTGATGTTTGCATTCAACTCACAGAGTTGAACCTTGCTTTCATAGTTCAGCTTTCAAACACTCTTTTTGTAGAATCTGCAAGTGGATATTTGGACCACTTTGTGGCCTTCCTTCGAAACGGGTATATCTTCACATCAAACCTAGACAGAAGCATTCTCAGAATGTTTCCTGTGATGACTGCATTCAACTCACAGAGGTGAACAATCCTGTTGATGGAGCACTTTTGAAACTCTCCTTCTTTGGATTCTGCAAGTGGATATGTGGACCTCTGTGAAGATTTCGTTGGAAACGGGTTCATCTTCACAGAAAAACTAAACAGAAACATTCTCAGAAACTGCTTTGTGATGTTTGTGTTCCACTTCAAGAATTGAACTTTCCTCTTGACAGAGCAGCTCTGAAACCCTCTTTTTCTAGAATCTGCAAGTGGACATTTGGAGGGCTTTGAGGCCTGTGGTGGAAAAGGAAAATCTTCACATAAAAACTAGATGGAAGCATTCTCAGAAACTACTTTGTGATGATTGCATTCGACTCACAGAGTTGAACATTCCTATAGATAGAGCAGGTTGTAAACAATCTTTTTGTAGAATCTGCGATTGGAGATTTGGACTGCTTTGAGGCCTACTGTAGTAAAGGAAATAACTTCATCTAAAAACCAAACGGAAGCATTCACAGACAATTCTTTGTGATCATTGGATTGAACTAAGAGAGCTGAACATTCCTTTAGATGGCGCAGTTTCCAAACACACTTTCTGTAGAATCTGCAAGTGGATATTTGGACCTCTCTGAGGATTTCTTTGGAAAAGGGATAAACTTCCCAGAACTACACGGAAGCGTTCTGAGAAACTTCTTTGTGATGTTTGCATTCAAATCACAGAGTTGAACCTTGCTTTCATAGTTCAGCTTTCAAACACTCTTTTTGTAGAATCTGCAAGTGGATATTTGGACCACTTTGTGGCCTTCCTTCGAAAGGGGTATATCTTCACATCAAACCTAGACAGAAGCATTCTCAGAATGTTTTCTGTGATGACTGCATTCAACTCACAGAGGTGAACAATCCTGTTGATGGAGCAGTTTTGAAACTCTCTTTCTTTGTATTCTGCAAGTGGATATGTGGACCTCTGTGAACATTTCGTTGGAAACGGGTTCATCTTCACAGAAAAACTAAGCAGGAGCATTCTCAGAAACTGCTTTGTGATGTTTGTGTTCCACTTCAAGAATTGAACTTTCCTCTTGACAGAGCAGCTCTGAAACCCTCTTTTTCTAGAATCTGCAAGTGGACATTTGGAGGGCTTTGAGGCCTGTGGTGGAAAAGGAAAATCTTCACATAAAAACTAGATGGAAGCATTCTCAGAAACTACTTTGTGATGATTGCATTCGACTCACAGAGTTGAACATTCCTATAGATAGAGCAGGTTGTAAACAATCTTTTTGTAGAATCTGCGATTGGAGATTTGGACTGCTTTGAGGCCTACTGTAGTAAAGGAAATAACTTCATCTAAAAACCAAACGGAAGCATTCACAGACAATTCTTAGTGATCATTGGATTGAACTAACAGAGCTGAACATTCCTTTAGATGGAGCAGTTTCCAAACCCACTTTCTGTAGAATCTGCAAGTGGATATTCGGACTTCTCTGAGGATTTCGTTGGAAACGGGATAAACTTCCCAGAACTACAGGGAAGCATTCTGAGAAACTTCTTTGTGATGTTTGCATTCAACTCACAGAGATGATCCTTGCTTTCATAGTTCAGTTTTCAAACACTCTTTTTGTAGAATCTGCAAGTGGATATTTGGACCACTTTGTGGCCTTCCTTCGAAACGGGTATATCTTCACATCAAACTTAGACAGAAGCATTCTCAGAATGTTTCCTGTGATGACTGCATTCAACTCACAGAGGTGAACAATCCTGCTGATGGAGCAGTTTTGAAACTCTCTTTCTTTGGATTCTGCAAGTGGATATGTGGACCTCTGTGAAGATTTCGTTGGAAACGGGTTCATCTTCACAGAAAAACTAAACAGCAGCATTCTCAGAAACTGCTTTGTAATGTTGTGTTCCACTTCAGGAATTGAACTTTCCTCTTGACAGAGCAGCTCTGAAACCCTCTTATTCTAGAATCTGCAAGTGGACATTTGGAGGGCTTTGAGGCCTGTGGTGGAAAAGGAAAATCTTCACATAAAAACTAGATGGAAGCATTCTCAGAAACTACTTTGTGATGATTGCATTCGACTCACAGAGTTGAACATTCCTATAGATAGAGCAGGTTGTAAACAATCTTTTTGTAGAATCTGCGATTGGAGATTTGGACTGCTTGGAGGCCTACTGTAGTAAAGGAAATAACTTCATCTAAAAACCAAACGGAAGCATTCACAGACAATTCTTAGTGATCATTGGATTGAACTAACAGAGCTGAACATTCCTTTAGATGGCGCAGTTTCCAAACACACTTTCTGTAGAATCTGCAAGTGGATATTTGGACTTCTCTGAGGATTTCGTTGGAAACGGGATAAACTTCCCAGAACTACACGGAAGCATTGTGAGAAACTTCTTTGTGATGTTTGCATTCAACTCACAGAGTTGAACCTTGCTTTCATAGTTCACCTTTCAAACACTCTTTTTGTAGAATCTGCAAGTGGATATTTGGACCACTTTGTGGCCTTCCTTCGAAACGGGTATATCTTCACATCAAACCTAGACAGAAGCATTCTCAGAATGTTTCCTGTGATAACTGCATTCAACTCTCAGAGGTGAACAATCCTGTTGATGGAGAAGTTTTGAAACTCCCTTTCTTTGCATTCTGCAAGTGGATATGTGGAACTCTGTGAAGATTTCTTTGGAAACGGGTTCATCTTCGCAGAAAAACTAAACAGGAGCATTCTCAGAAACTGCTTTGTGATGTTTGTGTTCCACTTCAGGAATTGAACTTTCCTCTTGACAGAGCAGCTCTGCAACCCTCTTATTCTAGAATCTGCAAGTGGACATTTGGAGGGCTTTGAGGCCTGTGGTGGAAAAGGAAAATCTTCACATAAAAACTAGATGGAAGCATTCTCAGAAACTACTTTGTGATGATTGCATTCGACTCACAGAGTTGAACATTCCTATAGATAGAGCAGGTTGTAAACAATCTTTTTGTAGAATCTGCGATTGGAGATTTGGACTGCTTTGAGGCCTACTGTAGTAAAGGAAATAACTTCATCTAAAAACCAAACGGAAGCATTCACAGACAATTCTTAGTGATCATTGGATTGAACTAACAGAGCTGAACATTCCTTTAGATGGAGTAGTTTCCAAACACACTTTCTCTAGAATCTGCAAGTGGATATTTGGACTTCTCTGAGGATTTCGTTGGAAACGGGATAAACTTCCCAGAAGTACACGGAAGCATTCTGAGAAACTTCTTTGTGATGTTTGCATTCAACTCACAGAGTTGAACCTTGCTTTCATAGTTCAGCTTTCAAACACTCTTTTTGTAGAATCTGCAAGTGGATATTTGGACCACTTTGTGGCCTTCCTTCGAAACGGGTATATCTTCACATCAAACCTAGACAGAAGCATTCTCAGAATGTTTCCTGTGATGACTGCATTCAACTCACAGAGGTGAACAATCCTGCTGATGGAGCAGTTTTGAAACTCTCTTTCTTTGGATTCTGCAAGTGGATATGTGGACCTCTGTGAAGATTTCGTTGGAAACGGGTTCATCTTCACAGAAAAACTAAACAGGAGCATTCTCAGAAACTGCTTTGTGATGTTTTTGTTCCACTTCAAGAATTGAACTTTCCTCTTGACAGAGCAGCTCTGAAATCCTCTTTTTCTAGAATCTGCAAGTGGACATTTGGAGGGCTTTGAGGCCTGTGGTGGAAAAGGAAAATCTTCACATAAAAACTAGATGGAAGCATTCTCAGAAAACTACTTTGTGATGATTGCATTCGACTCAAAGAGTTGAACATTCCTATAGATAGAGCAGGTTGTAAACAATCTTTTTGTAGAATCTGCGATTGGAGATTTGGACTGCTTCGAGGCCTACTGTAGTAAAGGAAATAACTTCATCTAAAAACCAAACGGAAGCATTCACAGAGAATTCTTAGTGATCATTGCATTGAACTAACAGAGCTGAACATTACTTTAGATGGCGCAGTTTCCAAACACACTTTCTGTAGAATCTGCAAGTGGATATTTGGACCTCTCTGAGGATTTCGTTGGAAACGGGATAAACTTCCCAGAACTACACGGAAGTATTCTGAGAAACTTCTTTGTGATGTTTGCATTCAACTCACAGAGTTGAACCTTGCTTTCATAGTTCAGCTTTCAAACACTCTTTTTGTAGAATCTGCAAGTGGATATTTGGACCACTTTGTGGCCTTCCTTCGAAACGGGTATATCTTCACATCAAACCTAGACAGAAGCATTCTCAGAATGTTTCCTGTGATGACTGCATTCAACTCACAGAGGTGAACAATCCTGCTGATGGAGCAGTTTTGAAACTCTCTTTCTTTGGATTCTGCAAGTGGATATGTGGACCTCTGTGAAGATTTCGTTGGAAACGGGTTCATCTTCACAGAAAAACTAAACAGAAGCATTCTCAGAAACTGCTTTGTGATGTTTGTGTTCCACTTCAGGAATTGAACTTTCCTCTTGACAGAGCAGCTCTGAAACCCTCTTATTCTAGAATCTGCAAGTGGACATTTGGAGGGCTTTGAGGCCTGTGGTGGAAAAGGAAAATCTTCACATAAAAACTAGATGGAAGCATTCTCAGAAACTACTTTGTGATGGTTGCATTCGACACACAGAGTTGAACATTCCTATAGATAGAGCAGGTTGTAAACAATCTTTTTGTAGAATCTGCGATTTGAGATTTGGACTGCTTTGAGGCCTACTGTAGTAAAGGAAATAACTTCATCTAAAAACCAAACGGAAGCATTCACAGACAATTCTTAGTGATCATTGGATTGAACTAACAGAGCTGAACATTCCTTTAGATGGCGCAGTTTCCAAACACACTTTCTGTAGAATCTGCCACTGGATATTTGGACCTCTCTGAGGATTTCGTTGGAAACGGGCTAAACTTCCCAGAACTACACGGAAGCATTGTGAGAAACTTCTTTGTGATGTTTGCATTCAACTCACAGAGTTGAACCTTGCTTTCAAAGTTCAGCTTTCAAACACTCTTTTTGTAGAATCTGCAAGTGGATATTTGGACCACTTTGTGACCTTCCTTCGAAACGGGTATATCTTCACATCAAACCTAGACAGAAGCATTCTCAGAATGTTTCCTGTGATGACTGCATTCAACTCACAGAGGTGAACAATCCTGCTGATGGAGCAGTTTTGAAACTCTCTTTCTTTGGATTCTGCAAGTGGATATGTGGACCTCTGTGAAGATTTCGTTGGAAACGGGTTCATCTTCACAGAAAAACTAAACAGGAGCATTTCTCAGAAACTACTTTGTGATGTTTGTGTTCCACTTCAAGAATTGAACTTTCCTCTTGACAGAGCAGCTCTCAAACCCTCTTTTTCTAGAATCTGCAAGTGGACATTTGGAGGGCTTTGAGGCCTGTGGTGGAAAAGGAAAATCTTCACATAAAAACTAGATGGAAGCATTCTCAGAAACTACTTTGTGATGATTGCATTCGACTCACAGAGTTGAACATTCCTATAGATAGAGCAGGTTGTAAACAATCTTTTTGTAGAATCTGCGATTGGAGATTTGGACTGCTTTGAGGCCTACTGTAGTAAAGGAAATAACTTCATCTAAAAACCAAACGGAAGCATTCACAGACAATTCTTAGTGATCATTGCATTGAACTAACAGAGCTGAACATTCCTTTAGATGGCGCAGTTTCCAAACACACTTTCTGTAGAATCTGCAAGTGGATATTTGGACCTCTCTGAGGATTTCGTTGGAAACGGGATAAACTTCCCAGAACTACACGGAAGCAGCATTCTGAGAAACTTCTTTGTGATGTTTGCATTCAACTCACAGAGTTGAACCTTGCTTTCATAGTTCAGCTTTCAAACACTCTTTTTGTAGAATCTGCAAGTGGATATTTGGACCACTTTGTGGCCTTCCTTCGAAACGGGTATATCTTCACATCAAACCTAGACAGAAGCATTCTCAGAATCTTTCCTGTGATGACTGCATTCAACTCACAGAGGTGAACAATCCTGTTGATGGAGCAGTTTTGAAACTCCCTTTCTTTGGATTCTGCAAGTGGATATGTGGAACTCTTTGAAGATTTCGTTGGAAACGGGTTCATCTTCACAGAAAAACTAAACAGGAGCATTCTCAGAAACTGCTTTGTGATGTTTGTGTTCCACTTCAGGAATTGAACTTTCCTCTTGACAGAGCAGCTCTGAAACCCTCTTTTTCTAGAATCTGCAAGTGGACATTTGGAGGGCTTTGAGGCCTGTGGTGGAAAAGGAAAATCTTCACATAAAAACTAGATGGAAGCATTCTCAGAAACTACTTTGTGATGATTGCATTCGACTCACAGAGTTGAACATTCCTATAGATAGAGCAGGTTGTAAACACTCTTTTTGTAGAATCTGCGATTGGAGATTTGGACTGCTTTGAGGCCTACTGTAGTAAAGGAAATAACTTCATCTAAAAACCAAACGGAAGCATTCACAGACAATTCTTACTGATCATTGGATTGAACTAACAGAGCTGAACATTCCTTTAGATGGCGCAGTTTCCAAACCCACTTTCTCTAGAATCTGCAAGTGGATATTTGGACGTCTCTGAGGATTTCGTTGGAAACGGGATAAACTTCCCAGAACTACACGGAAGCATTGTGAGAAACTTCTTTGTGATGTTTGCATTCAACGCACAGAGTTGAACCTTGCTTTCACAGTTCAGCTTTCAAACACTCTTTTTGTAGAATCTGCAAGTGGATATTTGGACCACTTTGTGGCCTTCCTTCGAAACGGGTATATCTTCACATCAAACCTAGACAGAAGCATTCTCAGAATGTTTCCTGTGATGACTGCATTCAACTCACAGAGGTGAACAATCCTGCTGATGGAGCAGTTTTGAAACTCTCTTTCTTTGGATTCTGCAAGTGGATATGTGGACCTCTGTGAAGATTTCGTTGGAAACGGGTTCATCTTCACAGAAAAACTAAACAGAAGCATTCTCAGAAACTGCTTTGTGATGTTTGTGTTCCACTTCAGGAATTGAACTTTCCTCTTGACAGAGCAGCTCTGAAATCCTCTTATTCTAGAATCTGCAAGTGGACATTTGGAGGGCTTTGAGGCCTGTGGTGGAAAAGGAAAATCTTCACATAAAAACTAGATGGAAGCATTCTCAGAAACTACTTTGTGATGATTGCATTCGACTCACAGAGTTGAACATTCCTATAGATAGAGCAGGTTGTAAACAATCTTTTTGTAGAATCTGCGATTGGAGATTTGGACTGCTTTGAGGCCTACTGTAGTAAAGGAAATAACTTCATCTAAAAACCAAACGGAAGCATTCACAGACAATTCTTAGTGATCATTGCATTGAACTAACAGAGCTGAACATTGCTTTAGATGGCGCAGTTTCCAAACACACTTTCTGTAGAATCTGCAAGTGGATATTTGGACCTCTCTGAGGATATCGTTGGAAAAGGGATAAACTTCCCAGAACTACACGGAAGCATTCTGAGAAACTTCTTTGTGATGTTTGCATTCAACTCACAGAGTTGAACCTTCCTTTCATAGTTCAGCTTTCAAACACTCTTTTTGTAGAATCTGCAAGTGGATATTTGGACCACTTTGTGGCCTTCCTTCGAAACGGGTATATCTTCACATCAAACCTAGAGAGAAGCATTCTCAGAATGTTTCCTGTGATGACTGCATTCAACTCACGGAGGTGAACAATCCTGCTGATGGAGCAGTTTTGAAACTCTCTTTCTTTGGATTCTGCAAGTGGATATGTGGACCTCTGTGAAGATTTCGTTGGAAACGGGTTCATCTTCACAGAAAAACTAAACAGAAGCATTCTCAGAAACTGCTTTGTGATGTTTGTGTTCCACTTCAGGAATTGAACTTTCCTCTTGACAGAGCAGCTCTGAAACCCTCTTATTCTATAATCTGCATGTGGACATTTGGAGGGCTTTGAGGCCTGTGGTGGAAAAGGAAAATCTTCACATAAAAACTAGATGGAAGCATTCTCAGAAACTACTTTGTGATGATTGCATTCGACTCACAGAGTTGAACATTCCTATAGATAGAGCAGGTTGTAAACAATCTTTTTGTAGAATCTGCGATTGGAGATTTGGACTGCTTTGAGGCCTACTGTAGTAAAGGAAATAACTTCATCTAAAAATCAAACGGAAGCATTCACTGACAATTCTTAGTGATCATTGGATTCAACTAACAGAGCTGAACATTCCTTTAGATGGAGCAGTTTCCAAACCCACTTTCTGTAGAATCTGCAAGTGGATATTTGGACTTCTCTGAGGATTTCGTTGGAAAAGGGATAATCTTCCCAGAACTACACGGAAGCATTGTGAGAAACTTCTTTGTGATGTTTGCATTCAACTCACAGAGTTGAACCTTGCTTTCATAGTTCAGCTTTCAAACACTCTTTTTGTAGAATCTGCAAGTGGATATTTGGACCACTTTGTGGCCTTCCTTCGAAACGGGTATATCTTCACATCAAACCTAGACAGAAGCATTCTCAGAATGTTTCCTGTGATGACTGCATTCAACTCACAGAGGTGAACAATCCTGCTGATGGAGCAGTTTTGAAACTCTCTTTCTTTGGATTCTGCAAGTGGATATGTGGACCTCTGTGAAGATTTCGTTGGAAACGGGTTCATCTTCACAGAAAAACTAAACAGGAGCATTCTCAGAAACTACTTTGTGATGTTTGTGTTCCACTTCAAGAATTGAACTTTCCTCTTGACAGAGCAGCTCTGAAACCCTCTTTTTCTAGAATCTGCAAGTGGACATTTGGAGGGCTTTGAGGCCTGTGGTGGAAAAGGAGAATCTTCACATAAAAACTAGATGGAAGCATTCTCAGAAACTACTTTGTGATGATTGCATTCGACTCACAGAGTTGAACATTCCTATAGATAGAGCAGGTGGTAAACAATGTTTTTGTAGAATCTGCGATTGGAGATTTGGACTGCTTTGAGGCCTACTGTAGTAAAGGAAATAACTTCATCTAAAAACCAAACGGAAGCATTCACAGACAATTCTTAGTGATCATTGGATTGAACTAACAGAGCTGAACATTCCTTTAGATGGCGCAGTTTCCAAACACACTTTCTGTAGAATCTGCAAGTGGATATTTGGACCTCTCTGAGGATTTCGTTGGAAACGGGATAAACTTCCCAGAACTACACGGAAGCATTCTGAGAAACTTCTTTGTGATGTTTGCATTCAACTCACAGAGTTGAACCTTGCTTTCATAGTTCAGCTTTCAAACACTCTTTTTGTAGAATCTGCAAGTGGATATTTGGACCACTTTGTGGCCTTCCTTCGAAACGGGTATATCTTCACATCAAACCTAGACAGAAGCATTCTCAGAATGTTTCCTGTGATGACTGCATTCAACTCACAGAGGTGAACAATCCTGCTGATGGAGCAGTTTTGAAACTCTCTTTCTTTGGATTCTGCAAGTGGATATGTGGACCTCTGTGAAGATTTCGTTGGAAACGGGTTCATCTTCACAGAAAAACTAAACAGAAGCATTCTCAGAAACTGCTTTGTGATGTTTGTGTTCCACTTAAAGAATTGAACTTTCCTCTTGACAGAGCAGCTCTGAAACCCTCTTTTTCTAGAATCTGCAAGTGGACATTTGGAGGGCTTTGAGGCCTGTGGTGGAAAAGGAAAATCTTCACATAAAAACTAGATGGAAGCATTCTCAGAAACTACTTTGTGATGATTGCATTCGACTCACAGAGTTGAACATTCCTATAGATAGAGCAGGTTGTAAACAATCTTTTTGTAGAATCTGCGATTGGAGATTTGGACTGCTTTGAGGCCTACTGTAGTAAAGGAAATAACTTCATCTAAAAACCAAACGGAAGCATTCACAGACAATTCTTAGTGATCATTGCATTGAACTAACAGAGCTGAACATTCCTTTAGATGGAGCATTTTCCAAACACATTTTCTGTAGAATCTGCAAGTGGATATTTGGACCTCTCTGAGGATTTCGTTGGAAACGGGATAAACTTCCCAGAACTACACGGAAGCATTGTGAGAAACTTCTTTGTGATGTTTGCATTCAACTCACAGAGTTGAACCTTGCTTTCATAGTTCAGCTTTCAAACACTCTTTTTGTAGAATCTGCAAGTGGATATTTGGACCACTTTGTGGCCTTCCTTTGAAAAGGGTATATCTTCACATCAAACCTAGACAGAAGCATTCTCAGAATGTTTCCTGTGATGACTGCATTCAACTCACAGAGGTGAACAATCCTGTTGATGGAGCACTTTTGAAACTCTCTTTCTTTGGATTCTGCAAGTGGATATGTGGACCTCTGTGAAGATTTCGTTGGAAACGGGTTCATCTTCACAGAAAAACTAAACAGAAGCATTCTCAGAAACTGCTTTGTGATGTTTGTGTTCCACTTCAGGAATTGAACTTTCCTCTTGAAAGAGCAGCTCTGAAACCCTCTTTTTCTAGAATCTGCAAGTGGACATTTGGAGGGCTTTGAGGCCTGTGGTGGAAAAGGAAAATCTTCACATAAAAACTAGATGGAAGCATTCTCAGAAACTACTTTGTGATGATTGCATTCGACTCACAGAGTTGAACATTCCTATAGATAGAGCAGGTTGTAAACAATCTTTTTGTAGAATCTGCGATTGGAGATTTGGACTGCTTTGAGGCCTACTGTAGTAAAGGAAATAACTTCATCTAAAAACCAAACGGAAGCATTCACAGACAATTCTTAGTGATCATTGGATTGAACTAACAGCAGCTGAACATTCCTTTAGATGGCGCAGTTTCCAAACACACTTTCTGTAGAATCTGCAAGTGGATATTTGGACCTCTCTGAGGATTTCGTTGGAAACGGGATAAACTTCCCAGAACTACACGGAAGCATTGTGAGAAACTTCTTTGTGATGTTTGCATTCAACTCACAGAGTTGAACCTTGCTTTCATAGTTCAGCTTTCAAACACTCTTTTTGTAGAATCTGCAAGTGGATATTTGGACCACTTTGTGGCCTTCCTTCGAAACGGGTATATCTTCACATCAAACCTAGACAGAAGCATTCTCAGAATGTTTCCTGTGATGACGGCATTCAACTCACAGAGGTGAACAATCCTGTTGATGGAGCAGTTTTGAAACTCTCTTTCTTTGGATTCTGCAAGTGGATATGTGGACCTCTGTGAAGATTTCGTTGGAAACGGGTTCATCTTCACAGAAAAACTAAACAGGAGCATTCTCAGAAACTGCTTTGTGATGTTTGTGTTCCACTTCAATAATTGAACTTTCCTCTTGACAGAACAGCTCTGAAACCCTCTTTTTCTAGAATCTGCAAGTGGACATTTGGAGGGCTTTGAGGCCTGTGGTGGAAAAGGAAAATCTTCACATAAAAACTAGATGGAAGCCTTCTCAGAAACTACTTTGTGATGATTGCATTCGACTCACAGAGTTGAACATTCCTATAGATAGAGCAGGTTGTAAACAATCTTTTTGTAGAATCTGCGATTGGAGATTTGGACTGCTTTGAGGCCTACTGTAGTAAAGGAAATAACTTCATCTAAAAACCAAACGGAAGCATTCACAGACAATTCTTAGTGATCATTGGATTGAACTAACAGAGCTGAACATTCCTTTAGATGGCGCAGTTTCCAAACACACTTTCTGTAGAATCTGTAAGTGGATATTTGGACCTCTCCGAAGATTTCGTTGGAAACGGGATAAACTTCCCAGAACTACACGGAAAGCATTCTGAGAAACTTCTTTGTGATGTTTGCATTCAACTCACAGAGTTGAACCTTGCTTTCATAATTCAGCTTTCAAACACTCTTTTTGTAGAATCTGCAAGTGGATATTTGGACCACTTTGTGGCCTTCCTTCGAAAGGGGTATATCTTCACATCAAACCTAGACAGAAGCATTCTCAGAATGTTTCTTGTGATGACTGCATTCAACTCACAGAGGTGAACAATCCTGTTGATGGAGCACTTTTGAAACTCTCTTTCTTTGGATTCTGCAAGTTGATATGTGGACCTCTGTGAAGATTTCGTTGGAAACGGGTTCATCTTCACAGAAAAACTAAACAGAAGCATTCTCAGAAACTGCTTTGTGATGTTTGTGTTCCACTTCAAGAATTGAACTTTCCTCTTGACAGAGCAGCTCTGAAACCCTCTTTTTCTAGAATCTGCAATTGGACATTTGGAGGGCTTTGAGGCCTGTGGTGGAAAAGGAAATATCTTCACATAAAAACTAGATGGAAGCATTCTCAGAAACTCCTTTGTGATGATTGCATTCGACTCACAGAGTTGAACATTCCTATAGATAGAGCAGGTAGTAAACAATCTTTTTGTAAAATCTGCGATTGGAGATTTGGACTGCTTTGAGGCCTACTGTAGTAAAGGAAATAACTTCATCTAAAAACCAAACGGAAGCATTCACAGACAATTCTTAGTGATCATTGGATTGAACTAAGAGAGCTGAACATTCCTGTAGATGGAGCAGTTTCCAAACACACTTTCTGTAGAATCTGCAAGTGGATATTTGGTCCTCTCTGAGGATTTCGTTGGAAACGGGATAAACTTCCCAGTACTACACGGAAGCATTGTGAGAAACTTCTTTGTGATGTTTGCATTCAACTCACAGAGTTGAACCTTGCTTTCATAGTTCAGCTTTCAAACACTCTTTTTGTAGAATCTGCAAGTGGATATTTGGACCACTTTGTGGCCTTCCTTCGAAACGGGTATATCTTCACATCAAACCTAGACAGAAGCATTCTCAGAATGTTTCCTGTGATGACTGCATTCAACTCACAGAGGTGAACAATCCTGTTGATGGAGCAGTTTTGAAACTCTCTTTCTTTGGATTCTGCAAGTTGATATGTGGAACTCTGTGAAGATTTCGTTGGAAACGGGTTCATCTTCACAGAAAAACTAAACAGAAGCACTCTCAGAAACTGCTTTGTGATGTTTGTGTTCCACTTCAAGAATTGAACTTTCCTCTTGACAGAGCAGCTCTGAAACCCTCTTTTTCTAGAATCTGCAAGTGGACATTTGGAGGGCTTTGAGGCCTGTGGTGGAAAAGGAATATCTTCCCATAAAAACTAGATGGAAGCATTCTCAGAAACTCCTTTGTGATGATTGCATTCGACTCACAGAGTTGAACATTCCTATAGATAGAGCAGGTTGTAAACAATCTTTTTGTAGAAACTGCGATTGGAGATTTGGACTGCTTTGAGGCCTACTGTAGTAAAGGAAATAACTTCATCTAAAAACCAAACGGAAGCATTCACAGACAATTCTTAGTGATCATTGGATTGAACTAACAGAGCTGAACATTCCTTTAGATGGAGCAGTTTCCAAACACACTTTCTGTAGAATCTGCAAGTGGATATTTGGACTTCTCTGAGGATTTCGTTGGAAACGGGATAAACTTCCCAGAACTACACGGAAGCATTCTGAGAAACTTCTTTGTGATGTTTGCATTCAACTCACAGAGTTGAACCTTGATTTCATAGTTCAGCTTTCAAACCCTCTTTTTGTAGAATCTGCAGGTGGATATTTGGACCACTTTGTAGCCTTCCTTCGAAACGGGTATATCTTCACATCAAACCTAGACAGAAGCATTCTCAGAATGTTTCCTGTGATGACTGCATTCAACTCACAGAGGTGAACAATCCTGCTGATGGAGCAGTTTTGAAACTCTCTTTCTTTGGATTCTGCAAGTGGATATGTGGACCTCTGTGAAGATTTCGTTGGAAACGGGTTCATCTTCACAGAAAAACTAAACAGAAGCATTCTCAGAAACTGCTTTGTGATGTTTGTGTTCCACTTCAAGAATTGAACTTTCCTCTTGACAGAGCAGCTCTGAAACCCTCTTTTTCTAGAATCTGCAAGTGGACATTTGGAGGGCTTTGAGGCCTGTGGTGGAAAAGGAAAATCTTCACATAAAAACTAGATGGAAGCATTCTCAGAAACTACTTTGTGATGATTGCATTCGAATCACAGAGTTGAACATTCCTATAGATAGAGCAGGTTGAAAACAATCTTTTTGTAGAATCTGCGATTGGAGATTTGGACTGCTTTGAGGCCTACTGTAGTAAAGGAAATAACTTCATCTAAAAACCAAACGGAAGCATTCACAGACAATTCTTAGTGATCATTGGATTGAACTAACAGAGCTGAACATTCCTTTAGATGGCGCAGTTTCCAAACACACTTTCTGTAGAATCTGCAACTGGATATTTGGATCTCTCTGAGGATTTCGTTGGAAACGGGATAAACTTCCCAGAACTACACGGAAGTATTCTGAGAAACTTCTTTGTGATGTTTGCATTCAACTCACAGAGTTGAACCTTGCTTTCATAGTTCAGCTTTCAAACACTCTTTTTGTAGAATCTGCAAGTGGATATTTGGACCACTTTGTGGCCTTCCTTCGAAACGGGTATATCTTCACATCAAACCTAGACAGAAGCATTCTCAGAATGTTTCCTGTGATGACTGCATTCAACTCACAGAGGTGAACAATCCTGTTGATGGAGCACTTTTGAAACTCTCTTTCTTTGGATTCTGCTAGTTGATATGTGGACCTCTGTGAAGATTTCGTTGGAAACGGGTTCATCTTCACAGAAAAACTAAACAGAAGCATTCTCAGAAACTACTTTGTGATGTTTGTGTTCCACTTCAAGAATTGAACTTTCCTCTTGACAGAGCAGCTCTGAAACCCTCTTTTTCTAGAATCTGCAAGTGGACATTTGGAGGGCTTTGAGGCCTGTGGTGGAAAAGGAAAATCTTCACATAAAAACTAGATGGAAGCATTCTCAGAAACTACTTTGTGATGATTGCATTCGACTCACAGAGTTGAACATTCCTATAGATAGAGCAGGTTGTAAACAATCTTTTTGTAGAATCTGCGATTGGAGATTTGGACTGCTTTGAGGCCTACTGTAGTAAAGGAAATAACTTCATCTAAAAACCAAACGGAAGCAATCACAGACAATTCTTAGTGATCATTGCATTGAACTAACAGAGCTGAACATTCCTTTAGATGGCGCAGTTTCCAAACACACTTTCTGTAGAATCTGCAAGTGGATATTTGGACCTCTCTGAGGATTTCGTTGGAAACGGGATAAACTTCCCAGAACTACACGGAAGCATTCTGAGAAACTTCTTTGTGATGTTTGCATTCAACTCACAGAGTTGAACCTTGCTTTCATAGTTCAGCTTTCAAACACTCTTTTTGTAGAATCTGCAAGTGGATATTTGGACCACTTTGTGGCCTTCCTTCGAAACGGGTATATCTTCACATCAAACCTAGACAGAAGCATTCTCAGAATGTTTCCTGTGATGACTGCATTCAACTCACAGAGGTGAACAATCCTGTTGATGGAGCACTTTTGAAACTCTCTTTCTTTGGATTCTGCAAGTTGATATGTGGACCTCTGAGAAGATTTCGTTGGAAACGGGTTCATCTTCACAGAAAAACTTAACAGAAGCATTCTCAGAAACTGCTTTGTGATGTTTGTGTTCCACTTCAAGAATTGAACTTTCCTCTTGACAGAACAGCTCTGAAACCCTCTTATTCTAGAATCAGCAAGTGGACATTTGGAGGGCTTTGAGGCCTGTGGTGGAAAAGGAAATATCTTCACATAAAACCTAGATAGAAGCATTCTCAGAAACTCCTTTGTGATGATTGCATTCGACTCACAGAGTTGAACATTCCTATAGATAGAGCAGGTTGTAAACAATCTTTTTGTAGAATCTGCGATTGGAGATTTGGACTGCTTTGAGGCCTACTGTAGTAAAGGAAATAACTTCATCTAAAAACCAAACGGAAGCATTCACAGACAATTCTTAGTGATCATTGGATGGAACTAACAGAGCTGAACATTCCTTTAGATGGAGCAGTTTCCAAACCCACTTTCTGTAGAATCAGCAAGTGGATATTTGGACTTCTCTGAGGATTTCGTTGGAAACGGGATATGCTTCCCAGAACTACACGGAAGCATTGTGAGAAACTTCTTTGTGATGTTTGCATTCAACTCACAGAGTTGAACCTTGCTTTCATAGTTCAGCTTTCAAACACTCTTTTTGTAGAATCTGCAAGTGGATATTTGGACCACTTTGTGGCCTTCCATCGAAACGGGTATATCTTCACATCAAACCTAGACAGAAGCATTCTCAGAATGTTTCCTGTGATGACTGCATTCACCTCACAGAGGTGAACAATCCTGCTGATGGAGCAGTTTTGAAACTCTCTTTCTTTGGATTCTGCAAGTGGATATGTGGACCTCTGTGAAGATTTCGTTGGAAACGGGTTCATCTTCACAGAAAAACTAAACAGAAGCATTCTCAGAAACTGCTTTGTGATGTTTGTGTTCCACTTCAGGAATTGAACTTTCCTCTTGACAGAGCAGCTCTGAAATCCTCTTATTCTAGAATCTGCAAGTGGACATTTGGAGGGCTTTGAGGCCTGTGGTGGAAAAGGAAAATCTTCACATAAAAACTAGATGGAAGCATTCTCAGAAACTACTTTGTGATGATTGCATTCGACTCACAGAGTTGAACATTCCTATAGATAGAGCAGGTGGTAAACAATCTTTTTGTAGAATCTGCGATTGGAGATTTGGACTGCTTTGAGGCCTACTGTAGTAAAGGAAATAACTTCATCTAAAAACCAAACGGAAGCATTCACAGACAATTCTTAGTGATCATTGGATTGAACTAACAGAGCTGAACATTCCTTTAGATGGAGCAGTTTCCAAACACACTTTCTGTAGAATCTGCAAGTGGATATTTGGACTTCTCTGAGGATTTCGTTGGAAACGGGATAAACTTCCCAGAACTACACGGAAGCATTGTGAGAAACTTCTTTGTGATGTTTGCATTCAACTCACAGAGTTGAACCTTGCTTTCATAGTTCAGCTTTCAAACACTCTTTTTGTAGAATCTGCAAGTGGATATTTGGACCACTTTGTGGCCTTCCTTCGAAACGGGTATATCTTCACATCAAACCTAGACAGAAGCATTCTCAGAATGTTTCCTGTGATGACTGCATTCAACTCACAGAGGTGAACAATCCTGCTGATGGAGCAGTTTTGAAACTCTCTTTCTTTGGATTCTGCAAGTGGATATGTGGACCTCTGTGAAGATTTCGTTGGAAACGGGTTCATCTTCACAGAAAAACTAAACAGGAGCATTCTCAGAAACTGCTTTGTGATGTTTGTGTTCCACTTCAGGAATTGAACTTTCTTCTTGACAGAGCAGCTCTGAAACCCTCTTTTTCTAGAATCTGCAAGTGGACATTTGGAGGGCTTTGCGGCCTGTGGTGGAAAAGGAAAATCTTCACATAAAAACTAGATGGAAGCATTCTCAGAAACTACTTTGTGATGATTGCATTCGACTCACAGAGTTGAACATTACTATAGATAGAGCAGGTTGTAAACAATGTTTTTGTAGAATCTGCGATTGGAGATTTGGACTGCTTTGAGGCCTACTGTAGTAAAGGAAATAACTTCATCTAAAAACCAAACGGAAGCATTCACAGACAATTCTTAGTGATCATTGGATTGAACTAACAGAGCTGAACATTCCTTTAGATGGAGCAGTTTCCAAACACACTTTCTGCAGAATCTGCAAGTGGATATTTGGACTTCTCTGAGGATTTCGTTGGAAACGGAATAAACTTCCCAGAACTACACGGAAGCATTGTGAGAAACTTCTTTGTGATGTTTGCATTCAACTCACAGAGTTGAACCTTGCTTTCATAGTTCAGCTTTCAAACACTCTTTTTGTAGAATCTGCAAGTGGATATTTGGACCACTTTGTGGCCTTCCTTTGAAAAGGGTATATCTTCACATCAAACCTAGACAGAAGCATTCTCAGAATGTTTCCTGTGATGACTGCATTCAACTCACAGAGGTGAACAATCCTTCTGATGGAGCAGTTTTGAAACTCTCTTTCTTTGGATTCTGCAAGTGGATATGTGGACCTCTGTGAAGATTTCGTTGGAAACGGGTTCATCTTCACAGAAAAACTAAACAGGAGCATTCTCAGAAACTGCTTTGTGATGTTTGTGTTCCACTTCAGGAATTGAACTTTCCTCTTGACAGAGCAGCTCTCAAACCCTCTTATTCTAGAATCTGCAAGTGGACATTTGGAGGGCTTTGAGGCCTGTGGTGGAAAAGGAAAATCTTCACATAAAAACTAGATGGAAGCATTCTCAGGAACTACTTTGTGATGATTGCATTCGACTCACAGAGTTGAACATTCCTATAGATAGAGCAGGTTGTAAACAATCTTTTTGTAGAATCTGCGATTGGAGATTTGGACTGCTTTGAGGCCTACTGTAGTAAAGGAAATAACTTCATCTAAAAACCAAATGGAAGCATTCACAGACAATTCTTAGTGATCATTGGATTGAACTAACAGAGCTGAACATTCCTTTAGATGGCGCAGTTTCCAAACACACTTTCTGTAGAATCTGCAAGTGGATATTTGGACCTCTCTGAGGATTTCGTTGGAAACGGGATAAACTTCCCAGAACTACACGGAAGCATGCTGAGAAACTTCTTTTTGATGTTTGCATTCAACTCACAGAGTTGAACCTTGCTTTCATAGTTCAGCTTTCAAACACTCTTTTTGTAGAATCTGCAAGTGGATATTTGGACCACTTTGTGGCCTTCCTTCGAAACGGGTATATCTTCACATCAAACCTAGACAGAAGCATTCTCAGAATGTTTCCTGTGATGACTGCATTCAACTCACAGAGGTGAACAATCCTGCTGATGGAGCAGTTTTGAAACTCTCTTTCTTTGGATTCTGCAAGTGGATATGTGGACCTCTGTGAAGATTTCGTTGGAAACGGGTTCATCTTCACAGAAAAACTAAACAGAAGCATTCTCAGAAACTGCTTTGTGATGTTTTTGTTCCACTTCAGGAATTGAACTTTCCTCTTGACAGAGCAGCTCTGAAACCCTGTTATTCTAGAATCTGCAAGTGGACATTTGGAGGGCTTTGAGGCCTGTGGTGGAAAAGGAAAACCTTCACATAAAAACTAGATGGAAGCATTCTCAGAAACTACTTTGTGATGATTGCATTCGACTCACAGAGTTGAACATTCCTATAGATAGAGCAGGTTGTAAACAATCTTTTTGTAGAATCTGCGATTGGAGATTTGGACTGCTTTGAGGCCTACTGTAGTAAAGGAAATAACTTCATCTAAAAACCAAACGGAAGCATTCACAGACAATTCTTAGTGATCATTGGATTGAACTAACAGAGCTGAACATTCCTTTAGATGGAGCAGTTTCCAAACACACTTTCTGTTGAATCTGCAAGTGGATATTTGGACTTCTCTGAGGATTTCGTTGGAAACGGGATAAACTTCCCAGAACTACACGGAAGCATTCTGAGAAACTTCTTTGTGATGGTTGCATTCAACTCACAGGGTTGAACCTTGCTTTCATAGTTCAGCTTTCAAACACTCTTTTTGTAGAATCTGCAAGTGGATATTTGGACCACTTTGTGGCCTTCCTTCGAAACGGGTATATCTTCACATCAAACCTAGACAGAAGCATTCTCAGAATGTTTCCTGTGATGACTGCATTCAACTCACAGAGGTGAACAATCCTGCTGATGGAGCAGTTTTGAAACTCTCTTTCTTTGGATTCTGCAAGTGGATATGTGGACCTCTGTGAAGATTTCGTTGGAAACGGGTTCATCTTCACAGAAAAACTAAACAGGAGCATTCTCAGAAACTGCTTTGTGATGTTTGTGTTCCACTTCAAGAATTGAACTTTCCTCTTGACAGAGCAGCTCTGAAACCCTCTTTTTCTAGAATCTGCAAGTGGACATTTGGAGGGCTTTGAGGCCTGTGGTGGAAAAGGAAAATCTTCACATAAAAACTAGATGGAAGCATTCTCAGAAACTACTTTGTGATGATTGCATTCGACTCACAGAGTTGAACATTCCTATAGATAGAGCAGGTTGTAAACAATCTTTTTGTAGAATCTGCGATTGGAGATTTGGACTGCTTTGAGGCCTACTGTAGTAAAGGAAATAACTTCATCTAAAAACCAAACGGAAGCATTCACAGACAATTCTTAGTGATCATTGGATTGAACTAACAGAGCTGAACATTCTTTTAGATGGAGCAGTTTCCAAACACACTGTCTGTAGAATCTGCAAGTGGATATTTGGACCTCTCTGAGGATTTCTTTGGAAACGGGCTAAACTTCCCAGAACTACACGGAAGTATTCTGAGAAACTTCTTAGTGATGTTTGCATTCAACTCACACGAGTTGAACCTTGCTTTCATAGTTCAGCTTTCAAACACTCTTTTTGTAGAATCTGCAAGTGGATATTTGGACCACTTTGAGGCCTTCCTTCGAAACGGGTATATCTTCACATCAAACCTAGACAGAAGCATTCTCAGAATGTTTCCTGTGATGACTGCATTCAACTCACAGAGGTGAACAATCCTGATGATGGAGCAGTTTTGAAACTCTCTTTCTTTGGATTCTGCAAGTGGATATGTGGACCTCTGTGAAGATTTCGTTGGAAACGGGTTCATCTTCACAGAAAAACTAAACAGGAGCATTCTCAGAAACTGCTTTGTGATGTTTGTGTTCCACTTCAAGAATTGAACTTTCCTCTTGACAGAGCAGCTCTGAAACCCTCTTTTTCTAGAATCTGCAAGTATACATTTGGATGGCTTTGAGGCCTGTGGTGGAAAAGGAAACTCTTCACATAAAAACTAGATGGAAGCATTCTCAGAAACTACTTTGTGAGAATTGCATTCGACTCACAGAGTTGAACATTCCTATAGATAGAGCAGGTTGTAAACAATCTTTTTGTAGAATCTGCGATTGGAGATTTGGACTGCTTTGAGGCCTACTGTAGTAAAGGAAATAACTCCATCTAAAAACCAAACGGAAGCATTCACAGACAATTCTTAGTGATCATTGGATTGAACTAACAGAGCTGAATATTCCTTTAGATGGAGCAGTTTCCAAACACACTTTCTGTAGAATCTGCAAGTGGATATTTGGACTTCTCTGAGGATTTCTTTGGAATCGGGATAAACTTCCCAGAACTACACGGAAGCATTCTGAGAAACTTCTTTGTGATGTTTGCATTCAACTCACAGAGTTGAACCTTGCTTTCATAGTTCAGCTTTCAAACCCTCTTTTTGTAGAATCTGCAAGTGGATATTTGGACCACTTTGTGGCCTTCCTTCGAAACGGGTATATCTTCACATCAAACCTAGACAGAAGCATTCTCAGAATGTTTCCTGTGATGACTGCATTCAACTCACAGAGGTGAACAATCCTGCTGATGGAGCAGTTTTGAAACTCTCTTTCTTTGGATTCTGCAAGTGGATATGTGGACCTCTGTGAAGATTTCGTTGGAAACGGGTTCATCTTCACAGAAAAACTAAACAGAAGCATTCTCAGAAACTGCTTTGTGATGTTTGTGTTCCACTTCAGGAATTGAACTTTCCTCTTGACAGAGCAGCTCTGAAACCCTCTTATTCTAGAATCTGCAAGTGGACATTTGGAGGGCTTTGAGGCCTGTGGTGGAAAAGGAAAATCTTCACATAAAAACTAGATGGAAGCATTCTCAGAAACTACTTTGTGATGATTGCATTCGACTCACAGAGTTGAACATTCCTATAGATAGAGCAGGTTGTAAACAATGTTTTTGTAGAATCTGCGATTGGAGATTTGGACTGCTTTGAGGCCTACTGTAGTAAAGGAAATAACTTCATCTAAAAACCAAACGGAAGCATTCACAGACAATTCTTAGTGATCATTGGATTGAACTAACAGAGCTGAACATTCCTTTAGATGGAGCAGTTTCCAAACCCACTTTCTGTAGAATCTGCAAGTGGATATTTGGACTTCTCTGAGGATTTCGTTGGAAACGGGATAAACTTCCCAGAACTACACGGAAGCATTGTGAGAAACTTCTTTGTGATGTTTGCATTCAACTCACAGAGTTGAACCTTGCTTTCATAGTTCAGCTTTCAAACACTCTTTTTGTAGAATCTGCAAGTGGATATTTGGACCACTTTGTGGCCTTCCTTTGAAACGGGTATATCTTCACATCAAACCTAGACAGAAGCATTCTCAGAATGTTTCCTGTGATGACTGCATTCAACTCACAGAGGTGAACAATCCTGCTGATGGAGCAGTTTTGAAACTCTCTTTCTTTGGATTCTGCAAGTGGATATGTGGACCTCTGTGAAGATTTCGTTGGAAACGGGTTCATCTTCACAGAAAAACTAAACAGAAGCATTCTCAGAAACTGCTTTGTGATGTTTGTGTTCCACTTCAGGAATTGAACTTTCCTCTTGACAGAGCAGCTCTGAAACCCTCTTATTCTAGAATCTGCAAGTGGATATTAGGAGGGCGTTGAGGCCTGTGGTGGAAAAGGAAAATCTTCACATAAAAACTAGATGGAAGCATTCTCAGAAACTACTTTGTGATGATTGCATTCGACTCACAGAGTTGAACATTCCTATAGATAGAGCAGGTTGTAAACAATGTTTTTGTAGAATCTGCGATTGGAGATTTGGACTGCTTTGAGGCCTACTGTAGTAAAGGAAATAACTTCATCTAAAAACCAAACGGAAGCATTCTCAGACAATTCTTAGTGATCATTGGATTGAACTAACAGAGCTGAACATTCCTTTAGATGGCGCAGTTTCCAAACACACTTTCTGTAGAATCTGCAAGTGGATATTTGGACCTCTCTGAGGATTTCGTTGGAAAAGGGATAAACTTCCCAGAACTACACGGAAGCATTCTGAGAAACTTCTTTGTGATGTTTGCATTCAACTCACAGAGTTGAACCTTGCTTTCATAGTTCAGCTTTCAAACACTCTTTTTGTAGAATCTGCAAGTGGATATTTGGACCACTTTGTGGCCTTCCTTCGAAACGGGTATATCTTCACATCAAACCTAGACAGAAGCATTCTCAGAATGTTTCCTGTGATGACTGCATTCAACTCACAGAGGTGAACAATCCTGTTGATGGAGCAGTTTTGAAACTCTCTTTCTTTGGATTCTGCAAGTGGATATGTGGACCTCTGTGAAGATTTCGTTGGAAACGGGTTCATCTTCACAGAAAAACTAAACAGAAGCATTCTCAGAAACTGCTTTGTGACGTTTGTGTTCCACTTCAAGAATTGAACTTTCCTCTTGACAGAGCAGCTCTGAAACCCTCTTTTTCTAGAATCTGCAAGTGGACATTTCGAGGGCTTTGGGGCCTGTGGTGGAAAAGGAAAATCTTCACATAAAAACTAGATTGAAGCATTCTCAGAAACTACTTTGTGATGATTGCATTCGACACACAGAGTTGAACATTCCTATAGATAGAGCAGGTTGTAAACAATCTTTTTGTAGAATCTGCGATTGGAGATTTGGACTGCTTTGAGGCCTACTGTAGTAAAGGAAATAACTTCATCTAAAAACCAAACGGAAGCATTCACAGACAATTCTCAGTGATCATTGGATTGAACTAACAGAGCTGAACATTCCTTTAGATGGCGCAGTTTCCAAACACACTTTCTGTAGAATCTGCAAGTGGATATTTGGACCTCTCTGAGGATTTCGTTGGAAACGGGATAAACTTCCCAGAACTACACGGAAGTATTCTGAGAAACTTCTTTGTGATGTTTGCATTCAACTCACAGAGTTGAACCTTGCTTTCATAGTTCAGCTTTCAAACACTCTTTTTGTAGAATCTGCAAGTGGATATTTGGACCACATTGTGGCCTTCCTTCGAAACGGTTATATCTTCACATCAAACCTAGACAGAAGCATTCTCAGAATGTTTCCTGTGATGACTGCATTCAACTCACGAGGTGAACAATCCTGCTGATGGAGCAGTTTTGAAACTCTCTTTCTTTGGATTCTGCAGGTGGATATGTGGACCTCTGTGAAGATTTCGTTGGAAACGGGTTCATCTTCACAGAAAAAATTACAGGAGCATTCTCAGAAACTGCTTTGTGATGTTTGTGTTCCACTTCAAGAATTGAACTTTCCTCTTGACAGAGCAGCTCTGAAACCCTCTTTTTCTAGAATCTGCAAGTGGACATTTGGAGGGCTTTGAGGCCTGTGGTGGAAAAGGAAAATCTTCACATAAAAACTAGATGGAAGCATTCTCAGAAACTACTTTGTGATGATTGCATTCGACTCACAGAGTTGAACATTCCTATAGATAGAGCAGGTTGTAAACAATCTTTTTGTAGAATCTGCGATTGGAGATTTGGACTGCTTTGAGGCCTACTGTAGTAAAGGAAATAACTTCATCTAAAAACCAAACGGAAGCATTCACAGACAATTCTTAGTGATCATTGCATTGAACTAACAGAGCTGAACATTGCTTTAGATGGCGCAGTTTCCAAACACACTTTCTGTAGAATCTGCAAGTGGATATTTGGACCTCTCTGAGGATTTCGTTGGAAACGGGATAAACTTCCCAGAACTACACGGAAGCATGCTGAGAAACTTCTTTGTGATGTTTGCATTCAACTCACAGAGTTGAACCTTGCTTTCATAGTTCAGCTTTCAAACACTCTTTTTGTAGAATCTGCAAGTGGATATTTGGACCACTTTGTGGCCTTCCTTCGAAACGGCTATATCTTCACATCAAACCTAGACAGAAGCATTCTCAGAATGTTTCCTGTGATGACTGCATTCAACTCACAGAGGTGAACAATCCTGCTGATGGAGCAGTTTTGAAACTCTCTTTCTTTGGATTCTGCAAGTGGATATGTGGACCTCTGTGAAGATTTCGTTGGAAACGGGTTCATCTTCACAGAAAAACTAAACAGAAGCATTCTCAGAAACTGCTTTGTCATGTTTGTGTTCCACTTCAGGAATTGAACTTTCCTCTTGACAGAGCAGCTCTGAAACCCTCTTATTCTAGAATCTGCAAGTTGACATTTGGAGGGCTTTGAGGCCTGTGGTGGAAAAGGAAAATCTTCACATAAAAACTAGATGGAAGCATTCTCAGAAACTACTTTGTGATGATTGCATTCGACTCACAGAGTTGAACATTCCTATAGATAGAGCAGGTTGAAAACAATCTTTTTGTAGAATCTGCGATTGGAGATTTGGACTGCTTTGAGGCCTACTGTAGTAAAGGAAATAACTTCATCTAAAAACCAAACGGAAGCATTCACAGACAATTCTTAGTGATCATTGCATTGAACTAACAGAGCTGAACATTCCTTTAGATGGAGCAGTTTCCAAACCCACTTTCTGTAGAATCTGCAAGTGGATATTTGGACTTCTCTGAGGATTTCGTTGGAAACGGGATAAACTTCCCAGAACTACACGGAAGCATTCTGAGAAACTTCTTTGTGATGTTTGCATTCAACTCACAGAGTTGAACCTTGCTTTCATAGTTCAGCTTTCAAACACTCTTTTTGTAGAATCTGCAAGTGGATATTTGGACCACTTTGTGGCCTTCCTTCGAAACGGGTATATCCTCACATCAAACCTAGACAGAAGCATTCTCAGAATGTTTCCTGTGATGACTGCATTCAACTCACAGAGATGAACAATCCTGTTGATGGAGCAGTTTTGAAACTCTCTTTCTTTGGATTCTGCAAGTGGATATGTGGACCTCTGTGAAGATTTCGTTGGAAACGGGTTCATCTTCACAGAAAAACTAAACAGGAGCATTCTCAGAAACTGCTTTGTGATGTTTGTGTTCCACTTCAAGAATTGAACTTTCCTCTTGACAGAGCAGCTCTGAAACCCTCTTTTTCTAGAATCTGCAAGTGGACATTTGGAGGGCTTTGAGGCCTGTGGTGGAAAAGGAAAATCTTCACATGAAAACTAGATGGAAGCATTCTCAGAAACTACTTTGTGATGATTGCGTTCGACTCACAGAGTTGAACATTCCTATAGATAGAGCTGGTTGTAAACAATCTTTATGTAGAATCTGCGATTGGAGATTTGGACTGCTTTGAGGCCTACTGTAGTAAAGGAAATAACTTCATCTAAAAACCAAACGGAAGCATTCACAGACAATTCTTAGTGATCATTGGATTGAACTAACAGAGCTGAACATTCCTTTAGATGGAGCAGTTTCCAAACACACTTTCTGTAGAATCTGCAAGTGGATATTTGGACCTCTCTGAGGATTTCGTTGGAAAAGGGATAAACTTCCCAGAACTACACGGAAGCATTCTGAGAAACTTCTTTGTGATGTTTGCATTCAACTCACAGAGTTGAACCTTGCTTTCATAGTTCAGCTTTCAAACACTCTTTTTGTAAAATCTGCAAGTGGATATTTGGACCACTTTGTGGCCTTCCTTCGAAACGGGTATATCTTCACATCAAACCTAGACAGAAGCATTCTCAGAATGTTTCCTGTGATGACTGCATTCAACTCACAGAGGTGAACAATCCTGCTGATGGAGCAGTTTTGAAACTCTCTTTCTTTGGATTCTGCAAGTGGATATGTGGACCTCTGTGAAGATTTCGTTGGAAACGGGTTC
This sequence comes from Homo sapiens, assembly GCF_000001405.40. Taxonomy (NCBI): domain Eukaryota; kingdom Metazoa; phylum Chordata; class Mammalia; order Primates; family Hominidae; genus Homo; species Homo sapiens. The sequence continues at coordinate 52,574,991 of NC_000011.10, forward strand.
ATCTTCACAGAAAAACTAAACAGGAGCATTCTCAGAAACTGCTTTGTGATGTTTGTGTTCCACTTCAGGAATTGAACATTCCTCTTGAGAGAGCAGCTCTGAAACCCTCTTTTTCTAGAATCTGCAAGTGGACATTTGGAGGGCTTTGAGGCCTGTGGAGGAAAAGGAAAATCTTCACATAAAAACTAGATGGAAGCATTCTCAGAAACTACTTTGTGATGATTGCATTCGACTCACAGAGTTGAACATTCCTATAGATAGAGAAGGTTGTAAACAATCTTTTTGTAGAATCTGCGATTGGAGATTTGGACTGCTTTGAGGCCTACTGTAGTAAAGGAGATAACTTCACCTAAAAACCAAACGGAAGCATTCACAGACAATTCTTAGTGATCATTGCATTGAACTAACAGAGCTGAACATTCCTTTAGATGGCGCAGTTTCCAAACACACTTTCTGTAGAATCTGCAAGTGGATATTTGGACTTCTCTGAGGATTTCGTTGGAAACGGGATAAACTTCCCAGAACTACACGGAAGCATTGTGAGAAACTTCTTTGTGATGTTTGCATTCAACTCACAGAGTTGAACCTTGCTTTCATAGTTCAGCTTTCAAACACTCTTTTTGTAGAATCTGCAAGTGGATATTTGGACCACTTTGTGGCCTTCCTTCGAAACGGGTATATCTTCACATCAAACCTAGACAGAAGCATTCTCAGAATGTTTCCTGTGATGACTGCATTCAACTCACAGAGGTGAACAATCCTGCTGATGGAGCAGTTTTGAAACTCTCTTTCTTTGGATTCTGCAAGTGGATATGTGGACCTCTGTGAAGATTTCGTTGGAAACGGGTTCATCTTCACAGAAAAACTAAACAGGAGCATTCTCAGAAACTGCTTTGTGATGTTTGTGTTCCACTTCAGGAATTGAACTTTCCTCTTGACAGAGCAGCTCTGAAACCCTCTTATTCTAGAATCTGCAAGTGGACATTTGGAGGGCTTTGAGGCCTGTGGTGGAAAAGGAAAATCTTCACATAAAAACTAGATGGAAGCATTCTCAGAAACTACTTTGTGATGATTGCATTCGACTCACAGAGTTGAACATTCCTATAGATAGAGCAGGTTGTAAACAATCTTTTTGTAGAATCTGCGATTGGACATTTGGACTGCTTTGAGGCCTACTGTAGTAAAGGAAATAACTTCATCTAAAAACCAAACGGAAGCATTCACAGACAATTCTTAGTGATCATTGCATTGAACTAACAGAGCTGAACATTCCTTTAGATGGCGCAGTTTCCAAACACACTTTCTGTAGAATCTGCAAGTGGATATTTGGACCTCTCTGAGGATTTCGTTGGAAACGGGATAAACTTCCCAGAACTACACGGAAGTATTCTGAGAAACTTCTTTGTGATGTTTGCATTCAACTCACAGAGTTGAACCTTGCTTTCATAGTTCAGCTTTCAAACACTCTTTTTGTAGAATCTGCAAGTGGATATTTGGACCACTTTGTGGCCTTCCTTCGAAACGGGTATATCTTCACATCAAACCTAGACAGAAGCATTCTCAGAATGTTTCCTGTGATGACTGCATTCAACTCACAGAGGTGAACAATCCTGTTGATGGAGCAGTTTTGAAACTCTCTTTCTTTGGATTCTGCAAGTGGATATGTGGACCTCTGTGAAGATTTCGTTGGAAACGGGTTCATCTTCACAGAAAAACTAAACAGGAGCATTCTCAGAAACTGCTTTGTGATGTTTGTGTTCCACTTCAGGAATTGAACTTTCCTCTTGACAGAGCAGCTCTGAAACCCTCTTTATCTAGAATCTGCAAGTGGACATTTGGAGGGCTTTGAGGCCTGTGGTGGAAAAGGAAAATCTTCACATGAAAACTAGATGGAAGCATTCTCAGAAACTACTTTGTGATGATTGCATTCGACTCACAGAGTTGAACATTCCTATAGATAGAGCAGGTTGTAAACAATCTTTTTGTAGAATCTGCGATTGGAGATTTGGACTGCTTTGAGGCCTACTGTAGTAAAGGAAATAACTTCATCTAAAAACCAAACGGAAGCATTCACAGACAATTCTTAGTGATCATTGCATTGAACTAACAGAGCTGAACATTCCTTTAGATGGCGCAGTTTCCAAACACACTTTCTGTAGAATCTGCAAGTGGATATTTGGACTTCTCTGAGGATTTCGTTGGAAACGGGATAAACTTCCCAGAACTACACGGAAGCATGCTGAGAAACTTCTTTGTGATGTTTGCATTCAACTCACAGAGTTGAACCATGCTTTCATAGTTCAGCTTTCAAACACTCTTTTTGTAGAATCTGCAAGTGGATATTTGGACCACTTTGTGGCCTTCCTTCGAAACGGGTATATCTTCACATCAAACCTAGACAGAAGCATTCTCAGAATGTTTCCTGTGATGACTGCATTCAACTCACAGAGGTGAACAATCCTGCTGATGGAGCAGTTTTGAAACTCTCTTTCTTTGGATTCTGCAAGTGGATATGTGGACCTCTGTGAAGATTTCGATGGAAACGGGTTCATCTTCACAGAAAAACTAAACAGAAGCATTCTCAGAAACTGCTTTGTGATGTTTGTGTTCCACTTCAAGAATTGAACTTTCCTCTTGACAGAGCAGCTCTGAAACCCTCTTTTTCTAGAATCTGCAAGTGGACATTTGGAGGGCTTTGAGGCCTGTGGTGGAAAAGGAAAATCTTCACATAAAAACTAGATGGAAGCATTCTCAGAAACTACTTTGTGATGATTGCATTCGACTCACAGAGTTGAACATTCCTATAGATAGAGCAGGTTGTAAACAATCTTTTTGTAGAATCTGCGATTGGAGATTTGGACTGCTTTGAGGCCTACTGTAGTAAAGGAAATAACTTCATCTAAAAACCAAACGGAAGCATTCACAGACAATTCTTAGTGATCATTGGATTGAACTAACAGAGCTGAACATTCCTTTAGATGGAGCAGTTTCCAAACACACTTTCTGTAGAATCTGCAAGTGGATATTTGGACTTCTCTGAGGATTTCGTTGGAAACGGGATAAACTTCCCAGAACTACACGGAAGCATTGTGAGAAACTTCTTTGTGATGTTTGCATTCAACTCACAGAGTTGAACCTTGCTTTCATAGTTCAGCTTTCAAACACTCTTTTTGTAGAATCTGCAAGTGGATATTTGGACCACTTTGTGGCCTTCCTTCGAAACGGGTATATCTTCACATCAAACCTAGACAGAAGCATTCTCAGAATGTTTCCTGTGATGACTGCATTCAACTCACAGAGGTGAACAATCCTGTTGATGGAGCAGTTTTGAAACTCTCTTTCTTTGGATTCTGCAAGTGGATATGTGGACCTCTGTGAAGATTTCGTTGGAAACGGGTTCATCTTCACAGAAAAACTAAACAGAAGCATTCTCAGAAACTGCTTTGTGATGTTTGTGTTCCACTTCAGGAATTGAACTTTCCTCTTGACAGAGCAGCTCTGAAACCCTCTTTTTCTAGACTCTGCAAGTGGACATTTGGAGGGCTTTGAGGCCTGTGGTGGAAAAGGAAAATCTTCACATAAAAACTAGATGGAAGCATTCTCAGAAACTACTTTGTGATGATTGCATTCGACTCACAGAGTTGAACATTCCTATAGATAGAGCAGGTTGTAAACAATCTTTTTGTAGAATCTGCGATTGGAGATTTGGACTGCTTTGAGGCCTACTGTAGTAAAGGAAATAACTTCATCTAAAAACCAAACGGAAGCATTCACAGCACAATTCTTAGTGATTATTGGATTGAACTAACAGAGCTGAACATTCCTTTAGATGGCGCAGTTTCCAAACACACTTTCTGTAGAATCTGCAAGTGGATATTTGGACCTCTCTGAGGATTTCGTTGGAAACGGGATAAACTTCCCAGAACTACACGGAAGCATTCTGAGAAACTTCTTTGTGATGTTTGCATTCAACTCACAGAGTTGAACCTTGCTTTCATAGTTCAGCTTTCAAACACTCTTTTTGTAGAATCTGCAAGTGGATATTTGGACCACTTTGTGGCCTTCCTTCGAAACGGGTATATCTTCACATCAAACCTAGACAGAAGCATTCTCAGAATGTTTCCTGTGATGACTGCATTCAACTCACAGAGGTGAACAATCCTGCTGATGGAGCACTTTTGAAACTCTCCTTCTTTGGATTCTGCAAGTGAATATGTGGTCCTCTGTGAAGATTTCGTTGGAAACGGGTTCATCTTCACAGAAAAACTAAACAGAAGCATTCTCAGAAACTGCTTTGTGATGTTTGTGTTCCACTTCAAGAATTGAACTTTCCTCTTGACAGAGCAGCTCTGAAACCCTCTTTTTCTAGAATCTGCAAGTGGACATTTGGAGGGCTTTGAGGCCTGTGGTGGAAAAGGAAAATCTTCACATAAAAACTAGATGGAAGCATTCTCAGCAAACTACTTTGTGATGATTGCATTCGACTCACAGAGTTGAACATTCCTATAGATAGAGCAGGTTGTAAACAATCTTTTTGTAGAATCTGAGATTGGAGATTTGGACTGCTTTGAGGCCTACTGTAGTAAAGGAAATAACTTCATCTAAAAACCAAACGGAAGCATTCACAGACAATTCTTAGTGATCATTGGATTGAACTAACAGAGCTGAACATTCCTTTAGATGGAGCAGTTTCCAAACACACTTTCTGTAGAATCTGCAAGTGGATATTTGGACCTCTCTGAGGATTTCGTTGGAAACGGGATAAACTTCCCAGAACTACACGGAAGCATTCTGAGAAACTTCTTTGTGATGTTTGCATTCAACTCACAGAGTTGAATTTCTTAGTTCAGCTTTCAAACACTCTTTTTGTAGAATCTGCAAGTGGATATTTGGACCACTTTGTGGCCTTCCTTCGAAACGGGTATATCTTCACATCAAACCTAGACAGAAGCATTCTCAGAATGTTTCCTGTGATGACTGCATTCAACTCACAGAAGGTGAACAATCCTGCTGATGGAGCAGTTTTGAAACTCGCTTTCTTTGGATTCTGCAAGTGGATATGTGGACCTCTGTGAAGATTTCGTTGGAAACGGGTTCATCTTCACAGAAAAACTAAACAGAAGCATTCTCAGAAACTGCTTTGTGATGTTTGTGTTCCACTTCAGGAATTGAACTTTCCTCTTGACAGAGCAGCTCTGAAACCCTCTTATTCTAGAATCTGCAAGTGGACATTTGGAGGGCTTTGAGGCCTGTGGTGGAAAAGGAAAATCTTCACATAAAAACTAGATGGAAGCATTCTCAGAAACTACTTTGTGATGATTGCATTCGACTCACAGAGTTGAACATTCCTATAGATAGAGCAGGTTGTAAACAATCTTTTTGTAGAATCTGCGATTGGAGATTTGGACTGCTTTGAGGCCTACTGTAGTAAAGGAAATAACTTCATCTAAAAACCAAACGGAAGCATTCACAGACAATTCTTAGTGATCATTGGATTGAACTAACAGAGCTGAACATTCCTTTAGATGGCGCAGTTTCCAAACACACTTTCTGTAGAATCTGCAAGTGGATATTTGGACCTCTCTGAGGATTTCGTTGGAAATGGGATAAATTTCCCAGAACTACACGGAAGCATTCTGAGAAACTTCTTTGTGATGTTTGCATTCAACTCACAGAGTTGAACCTTGCTTTCATAGTTCAGCTTTCAAACACTCTTTTTGTAGAATCTGCAAGTGGATATTTGGACCACTTTCTGGCCTTCCTTCGAAACGGGTATATCTTCACATCAAACCTAGACAGAAGCATTCTCAGAATGTTTCCTGTGATGACTGCATTCAACTCACAGAGGTGAACAATCCTGCTGATGGAGCAGTTTTGAAACTCTCTTTCTTTGGATTCTACAAGTGGATATGTGGACCTCTGTGAAGATTTCGTTGGAAACGGGTTCATCTTCACAGAAAAACTAAACAGAAGCATTCTCAGAAACTACTTTGTGATGTTTGTGTTCCACCTTCAAGAATTGAACTTTCCTCTTGACAGAGCAGCTCTGAAACCCTCTTTTTCCAGAATCTGCAAGTGGACATTTGGAGGGCTTTGAGGCCTGTGGTGGAAAAGGAAAATCTTCACATAAAAACTAGATGGAAGCATTCTCAGAAACTACTTTGTGATGATTGCATTCGACTCACAGAGTTGAACATTCCTATACATAGAGCAGGTTGTAAACAATCTTTTTGTAGAATCTGCGATTGGAGATTTGGACTGCTTTGAGGCCTACTGTAGTAAAGGAAATAACTTCATCTAAAAACCAAACGGAAGCATTCACAGACAATTCTTAGTGATCATTGCATTGAACTAACAGAGCTGAACATTCCTTTAGATGGCGCAGTTTCCAAACACACTTTCTGTAGAATCTGCAAGTGGATATTTGGACCTCTCTGAGGATTTCGTTGGAAACGGGATAAACTTCCCAGAACTACACGGAAGTATTCTGAGAAACTTCTTTGTGATGTTTGCATTCAACTCACAGAGTTGAACCTTGCTTTCATAGTTCAGCTTTCAAACACTCTTTTTGTAGAATCTGCAAGTGGATATTTGGACCAATTTGTGGCCTTCCTTCGAAACGGGTATATCTTCACATCAAACCTAGACAGAAGCATTCTCAGAATGTTTCCTGTGATGACTGCATTCAACTCACAGAGGTGAACAATCCTGCTGATGGAGCAGTTTTGAAACTCTCTTTCTTTGGATTCTGCAAGTGGATATGTGGACCTCTGTGAAGATTTCGTTGGAAACGGGTTCATCTTCACAGAAAAACTAAACAGAAGCATTCTCAGAAACTGCTTTGTGATGTTTGTGTTCCACTTCAGGAATTGAACTTTCCTCTTGACAGAGCAGCTCTGAAACCCTCTTATTCTAGAATCTGCAAGTGGACATTTGGAGGGCTTTGAGGCCTGTGGTGGAAAAGGAAAATCTTCACATAAAAACTAGATGGAAGCATTCTCAGAAACTACTTTGTGATGATTGCATTCGACTCACAGAGTTGAACATTCCTATAGATAGAGCAGGTTGTAAACAATCTTTTTGTAGAATCTGCGATTGGAGATTTGGACTGCTTTGAGGCCTACTGTAGTAAAGGAAATAACTTCAGCTAAAAACCAAACCGAAGCATTCACAGACAATTCTTAGTGATCATTGCATTGAACTAACAGAGCTGAACATTCCTTTAGATGGCGCAGTTTCCAAACACACTTTCTGTAGAATCTGCAAGTGGATATTTGGACTTCTCTGAGGATTTCGTTGGAAACGGGATAAACTTCCCAGAACTACACGGAAGCATTCTGAGAAACTTCTTTGTGATGTTTGCATTCAACACACAGAGTTGAACCTTGATTTCATAGTTCAGCTCTCAAACACTCTTTTTGTAGAATCTGCAAGTGGATATTTGGACCACTTTGTGGCCTTCCTTCGAAACGGGTATATCTTCACATCAAACCTAGACAGAAGCATTCTCAGAATGTTTCCTGTGATGACTGCATTCAACTCACAGAGGTGAACAATCCTGTTGATGGAGCCGTTTTGAAACTCCCTTTCTTTTGATTCTGCAAGTGGATATGTGGAACTCTGTGAAGATTTCGTTGGAAACGGGTTCATCTTCACAGAAAAATTAACAGGAGCATTCTCAGAAACTGCTTTGTGATGTTTGTGTTCCACTTCAGGAATTGAACTTTCCTCTTGACAGAGCAGCTCTGAAACCCTCTTTTTCTAGAATCTGCAAGTGGACATTTGGAGGGCTTTGAGGACTGTGGTGGAAAAGGAAACTCTTCACATAAAAACTAGATGGAAGCATTCTCAGAAACTACTTTGTGATGATTGCATTCGACTCACAGAGTTGAACATTCCTATAGATAGAGCAGGTTGTAAACAATCTTTTTGTAGAATCTGCGATTGGAGATTTGGACTGCTTTGAGGCCTACTGTAGTAAAGGAAATAACTTCATCTAAAAACCAAACGGAAGCATTCACAGACAATTCTTAGTGATCATTGCATTGAACTAACAGAGCTGAACATTCCTTTAGATGGAGCAGTTTCCAAACACACTTTCTGTAGAATCTGCAAGTGGATATTTGGACTTGTCTGAGGATTTCGTTGGAAACGGGATAAACTTCCCAGAACTACACGGAAGCATTGTGAGAAACTTCTTTGTGATGTTTGCATTCAACTCACAGAGTTGAACCTTGCTTTCATAGTTCAGCTTTCAAACACTCTTTTTGTAGAATCTGCAAGTGGATATTTGGACCACTTTGTGGCCTTCCTTCGAAACGGCTATATCTTCACATCAAACCTAGACAGAAGCATTCTCAGAATGTTTCCTGTGATGACTGCATTCAACTCACAGAGGTGAACAATCCTGCTGATGGAGCAGTTTTGAAACTCTCTTTCTTTGGATTCTGCAAGTGGATATGTGGACCTCTGTGAAGATTTCGTTGGAAACGGGTTCATCTTCACAGAAAAACTAAACAGGAGCATTCTCAGAAACTGCTTTGTGATGTTTGTGTTCCACTTCAGGAATTGAACTTTCCTCTTGACAGAGCAGCTCTGAAACCCTCTTTTTCTAGAATCTGCAAGTGGACATTTGGAGGGCTTTGAGGCCTGTGGTGGAAAAGGAAACTCTTCACATAAAAACTAGATGGAAGCATTCTCAGAAACTACTTTGTGATGATTGCATTCGACTCACAGAGTTCAACATTCCTATAGATAGAGCAGGTTGTAAACAATCTTTTTGTAGAATCTGCGATTGGAGATTTGGACTGCTTTGAGGCCTACTGTAGTAAAGGAAATAACTTCATCTAAAAACCAAACGGAAGCATTCACAGACAATTCTTAGTGATCATTGGATTGAACTAACAGAGCTGAACATTCCTTTAGATGGCGCAGTTTCCAAACCCACTTTCTGTAGAATCTGCAAGTGGATATTTGGACTTCTCTGAGGATTTCGTTGGAAACGGGATAAACTTCCCAGAACTACAGGGAAGCATTCTGAGAAACTTCTTTGTGATGTTTGCATTCAACTCACAGAGTTGAACCTTGCTTTCATAGTTCAGCTTTCAAACACTCTTTTTGTAGAATCTGCAAGTGGATATTTGGACCACTTTGTGGCCTTCCTTCGAAACGGGTATATCTTCACATCAAACCTAGACAGAAGCATTCTCAGAATGTTTCCTGTGATGACTGCATTCAACTCACAGAGGTGAACAATCCTGTCAATGGAGCAGTTTTGAAACTCTCTTTCTTTGGATTCTGCAAGTTGATATGTGGACCTCTGTGAAGATTTCGTTGGAAACGGGTTCATCTTCACAGAAAAACTAAACAGGAGCATTCTCAGAAACTGCTTTGTGATGTTTGTGTTCCACTTCAGGAATTGAACTTTCCTCTTGACAGAGCAGCTCTGAAACCCTCTTATTCTAGAATCTGCAAGTGGACATTTGGAGGGCTTTGAGGCCTGTGGTGGAAAAGGAAAATCTTCACATAAAAACTAGATGGAAGCATTCTCAGAAACTACTTTGTGATGATTGCATTCGACTCACAGAGTTGAACATTCCTATAGATAGAGCAGGTTGTAAACAATCTTTTTGTAGAATCTGCGATTGGAGATTTGGACTGCTTTGAGGCCTACTGTAGTAAAGGAAATAACTTCATCTAAAAACCAAACGGAAGCATTCACAGACAATTCTTAGTGATCATTGCATTGAACTAACAGAGCTGAACATTCCTTTAGATGGCGCAGTTTCCAAACACACTTTCTGTAGAATCTGCAAGTGGATATTTGGACTTCTCTGAGGATTTCGTTGGAAACGGGATAAACTTCCCAGAACTACACGGAAGCATGCTGAGAAACTTCTTTGTGATGTTTGCATTCAACTCACAGAGTTGAACCATGCTTTCATAGTTCAGCTTTCAAACACTCTTTTTGTAGAATCTGCAAGTGGATATTTGGACCACTTTGTGGCCTTCCTTCGAAACGGGTATATCTTCACATCAAACCTAGACCGAAGCATTCTCAGAATGTTTCCTGTGATGACTGCATTCAACTCACAGAGGTGAACAATCCTGCTGATGGAGCAGTTTTGAAACTCTCTTTCTTTGGATTCTGCAAGTGGATATGTGGACCTCTGTGAAGATTTCGTTGGAAACGGGTTCATCTTCACAGAAAAACTAAACAGAAGCATTCTCAGAAACTGCTTTGTGATGTTTGTGTTCCACTTCAGGAATTGAACTTTCCTCTTGACAGAGCAGCTCTGAAATCCTCTTATTCTATAATCTGCAAGTGGACATTTGGAGGGCTTTGAGGCCTGTGGTGGAAAAGGAAAATCTTCACATAAAAACTAGATGGAAGCATTCTCAGAAACTATTTTGTGATGATTGCATTCGACTCACAGAGTTGAACATTCCTATAGATAGAGCAGGTTGTAAACAATCTTTTTGTAGAATCTGCGATTGGAGATTTGGACTGCTTTGAGGCCTACTGTAGTAAAGGAAATAACTTCATCTAAAAACCAAACGGAAGCATTCACAGACAATACTTAGTGATCATTGGATTGAACTAACAGAGCTGAACATTCCTTTAGATGGAGTAGTTTCCAAACCCACTTTCTGTAGAATCTGTAAGTGGATATTTGGACTTCTCTGAGGATTTCGTTGGAAACGGGATAAACTTCCCAGAACTACACGGAAGCATTGTGAGAAACTTCTTTGTGATGTTTGCATTCAACTCACAGAGTTGAACCTTGCTTTCATAGTTCAGCTTTCAAACACTCTTTTTATAGAATCTGCAAGTGGATATTTGGACCACTTTGTGGCCTTCCTTCGAAACGGGTATATCTTCACATCAAACCTAGACAGAAGCATTCTCAGAATGTTTCCTGTGATGACTGCATTCAACTCACAGAGGTGAACAATCCTGCTGATGGAGCAGTTTTGAAACTCTCTTTCTTTGGATTCTGCAAGTGGATATGTGGACCTCTGTGAAGATTTCGTTGGAAACGGGTTCATCTTCACAGAAAAACTAAACAGGAGCATTCCCAGAAACTGCTTTGTGATGTTTGTGTTCCACTTCAAGAATTGAACTTTCCTCTTGACAGAGCAGCTCTGAAACCCTCTTTTTCTAGAATCTGCAAGTGGACATTTGGAGGGCTTTGAGGCCTGTGGTGGAAAAGGAAAATCTTCACATAAAAACTAGATGGAAGCATTCTCAGAAACTACTTTGTGATGATTGCATTCGACTCACATAGTTGAACATTCCTATAGATAGAGCAGGTTGTAAACAATCTTTTTGTAGAATCTGCGATTGGAGATTTGGACTGCTTTGAGGCCTACTGTAGTAAAGGAAATAACTTCATCTAAAAACCAAACGGAAGCATTCACAGACAATTCTTAGTGATCATTGGATTGAACTAACAGAGCTGAACATTCCTTTAGATGGAGCAGTTTCCAAACACACTTTCTGTAGAATCTGCAAGTGGATATTTGGACCTCTCTGAGGATTTCGTTGGAAACGGGATAAACTTCCCAGAACTACACGGAAGCATGCTGAGAAACTTCTTTGTGATGTTTGCATTCAACTCACAGAGTTGAACCTTGCTTTCATAGTTCAGCTTTCAAACACTCTTTTTGTAGAATCTGCAAGTGGATATTTGGACCACTTTGTGGCCTTCCTTCGAAACGGGTATATCTTCACATCAAACCTAGACAGAAGAATTCTCAGAATGTTTCCTGTGATGACTGCATTCAACTCACAGAGGTGAACAATCCTGTTGATGGAGCAGTTTTGAAACTCTCTTTCTTTGGATTCTGCAAGTTGATATGTGGACCTCTGTGAAGATTTCGTTGGAAATGGGTTCATCTTCACAGAAAAACTAAACAGAAGCATTCTCAGAAACTACTTTGTGATGTTTGTGTTCCACTTCAAGAATTGAACTTTCCTCTTGACAGAGCAGCTCTGAAACCCTCTTTTTCTAGAATCTGCAAGTGGACATTTGGAGGGCTTTGAGGCCTGTGGTGGAAAAGGAAAATCTTCACATAAAAACTAGATGGAAGCATTCTCAGAAACTACTTTGTGATGATTGCATTCGACTCACAGAGTTGAACATTCCTATAGATAGAGCAGGTTGTAAACAATCTTTTTGTAGAATCTGCGATTGGAGATTTGGACTGCTTTGAGGCCTACTGTAGTAAAGGAAATAACTTCATCTAAAAACCAAACGGAAGCATTCACAGACAATTCTTAGTGATCATTGGATTGAACTAACAGAGCTGAACATTCCTTTAGATGGAGCAGATTCCAAACACACTTTCTGTAGAATCTGCAAGTGGATATTTGGACCTCTCTGAGGATTTCGTTGGAAACGGGATAAACTTCCCAGAACTACACGGTAGCATTCTGAGAAACTTCTTTGTGATGTTTGCATTCAACTCACAGAGTTGAACCTTGCTTTCATAGTTCAGCTTTCAAACACTCTTTTTGTAGAATCTGCAAGTGGATATTTGGACCACTTTCTGGCCTTCCTTCGAAACGGGTATATCTTCACATCAAACCTAGACAGAAGCATTCTCAGAATGTTTCCTGTGATGACTGCATTCAACTCACAGAGGTGAACAATCCTGTTGATGGAGCACTTTTGAAACTCTCTTTCTTTGGATTCTGCAAGTTGATATGTGGACCTCTGAGAAGATTTCGTTGGAAACGGGTTCATCTTCACAGAAAAACTAAACAGAAGCATTCTCAGAAACTACTTTGTGATGTTTGTGTTCCACTTCAAGAATTGAACTTTCCTCTTGACAGAGCAGCTCTGAAACCCTCTTTTTCTAGAATCTGCAAGTGGACATTTGGAGGGCTTTGAGGCCTGTGGTGGAAAAGGAAAATCTTCACATAAAAACTAGATGGAAGCATTCTCAGAAACTACTTTGTGATGATTGCATTCGACTCACAGAGTTGAACATTCCTATAGATAGAGCAGGTTGTAAACAATCTTTTTGTAGAATCTGCGATTGGAGATTTGGACTGCTTTGAGGCCTACTGTAGTAAAGGAAATAACTTCATCTAAAAACCAAACGGAAGCATTCACAGACAATTCTTAGTGATCATTGGATTGAACTAACAGAGCTGAACATTCCTTTAGATGGAGCAGTTTCCAAACCCACTTTCTGTAGAATCTGCAAGTGGATATTTGGACTTCTCTGAGGATTTCGTTGGAAACGGGATAAACTTCCCAGAACTACACGGAAGCATTGTGAGAAACTTCTTTGTGATGTTTGCATTCAACTCACAGAGTTGAACCTTGCTTTCATAGTTCAGCTTTCAAACACTCTTTTTGTAGAATCTGCAAGTGGATATTTGGACCACTTTGTGGCCTTCCTTCGAAACGGGTATATCTTCACATCAAACCTAGACAGAAGCATTCTCAGAATGTTTCCTGTGATGACTGCATTCAACTCACAGAGGTGAACAATCCTGTTGATGAAGCACTTTTGAAACTCTCTTTCTTTGGATTCTGCAAGTTGATATGTGGACCTCTGTGAAGATTTCGTTGGAAACGGGTTCATCTTCACAGAAAAACTAAACAGAAGCATTCTCAGAAACTGCTTTGTGATGTTTGTGTTCCACTTCAAGAATTGAACTTTCCTCTTGACAGAGCAGCTCTGAAACCCTCTTTTCTTAGAATCTGCAAGTGGACATTTGGAGGGCTTTGAGGCCTGTGGTGGAAAAGGAAAATCTTCACATAAAAACTAGATGGAAGCATTCTCAGAAACTACTTTGTGATGATTGCATTCGACTCACAGAGTTGAACATTCCTATAGATAGAGCAGTTTGTAAACAATCTTTTTGTAGAATCTGCGATTGGAGATTTGGACTGCTTTGAGGCCTACTGTAGTAAAGGAAATAACTTCATCTAAAAACCAAACGGAAGCATTCACAGACAATTCTTAGTGATCATTGGATTGAACTAACAGAGCTGAACATTCCTTTAGATGGAGCAGTTTCCAAACACACTTTCTGTGGAATCTGCAACTGGATATTTGGACTTCTCTGAGGATTTCGTTGGAAATGGGTTAAACTTCCCAGAACTACACGGAAGCATTCTGAGAAACTTCTTTGTGATGTTTGCATTCAACTCACAGAGTTGAACCTTGCTTTCATAGTTCAGCTTTCAAACACTCTTTTTGTAGAATCTGCAAGTGGATATTTGGACCACTTTGTGGCCTTCCTTCGAAACGGGTATATCTTCACATCAAACCTAGACAGAAGCATTCTCAGAATGTTTCCTGTGATGACTGCATTCAACTCACAGAGGTGAACAATCCTGCTGATGGAGCAGTTTTGAAACTCCCTTTCTTTGGATTCTGCCAGTGGATATGTGGAACTCTGTGAAGATTTCGTTGGAAACGGGTTCATCTTCACAGAAAAATTAACAGGAGCATTCTCAGAAACTGCTTTGTGATGTTTGTGTTCCACTTCAAGAATTGAACTTTCCTCTTGACAGAGCAGCTCTGAAACCCTCTTTTTCTAGAATCTGCAAGTGGACATTTGGAGGGCTTTGAGGCCTGTGGTGGAAAAGGAAAATCTTCACATAAAAACTAGATGGAAGCATTCTCAGAAACTACTTTGTGATGGTTGCATTCGACTCACAGAGTTGAACATTCCTATAGATAGAGCAGGTTGTAAACAATCTTTTTGTAGAATCTGCGATTGGAGATTTGGACTGCTTTGAGGCCTACTGTAGTAAAGGAAATAACTTCATCTAAAAACCAAACGGAAGCATTCACAGACAATTCTTAGTGATCATTGGATTGAACTAACAGAGCTGAACATTCCTTTAGATGGAGCAGTTTCCAAACACACTTTCTGTAGAATCTGGAAGTGGATATTTGGACCTCTCTGAGGATTTCGTTGGAAACGGGCTAATCTTCCCAGAACTACACGGAAGCATTCTGAGAAACTTCTTTGTGATGTTTGCATTCAACTCACAGAGTTGAACCTTGCTTTCATAGTTCAGCTTTCAAACACTCTTTTTGTAGAATCTGCAAGTGGATATTTGGACCACTTTGTGGCCTTCCTTCGAAACGGGTATATCTTCACATCAAACCTAGACAGAGGCATTCTCAGAATGTTTCCTGTGATGACTGCATTCAACTCACAGAGGTGAACAATCCTGCTGATGGAGCAGTTTTGAAACTCTCTTTCTTTGGATTCTGCAAGTGGATATGTGGACCTCTGTGAAGATTTCGTTGGAAACGGGTTCATCTTCACAGAAAAACTAAACAGAAGCATTCTCAGAAACTACTTTGTGATGTTTGTGTTCCACTTCAAGAATTGAACTTTCCTCTTGACAGAGCAGCTCTGAAACCCTCTTTTTCTAGAATCTGCAAGTGGACATTTGGAGGGCTTTGAGGCCTGTGGTGGAAAAGGAAAATCTTCACATAAAAACTAGATGGAAGCATTCTCAGAAACTACTCTGTGATGATTGCATTCGACTCACAGAGTTGAATATTCCTATAGATAGAGCAGGTTGTAAACAATCTTTTTGTAGAATCTGCGATTGGAGATTTGGACTGCTTTGAGGCCTACTGTAGTAAAGGAAATAACTTCATCTAAAAACCAAACGGAAGCATTCACAGACAATTCTTAGTGATCATTGCATTGAACTAACAGAGCTGAACATTCCTTTAGATGGCGCAGTTTCCAAACACACTTTCTGTAGAATCTGCAAGTGGATATTTGGACCTCTGTGAGGATTTCGTTGGAAACGGGATAAACTTCCCCAAACTACACGGAAGCATTGTGAGAAACTTCTTTGTGATGTTTGCATTCAACTCACAGAGTTGAACCTTGCTTTCATAGTTCAGCTTTCAAACACTCTTTTTGTAGAATCTGCAAGTGGATATTTGGACCACTTTGTGGCCTTCCTTTGAAACGGGTATATCTTCACATCAAACCTAGACAGAAGCATTCTCAGAATGTTTCCTGTGATGACTGCATTCAACTCACAGAGGTGAACAATCCTGTTGATGGAGCAGTTTTGTAACTCTCTTTCTTTGGATTCTGCAAGTTGATATGTGGACCTCTGTGAAGATTTCGTTGGAAACTGGTTCATCTTCACAGAAAAAATAAACAGAAGCATTCTCAGAAACGGCTTTGTGATGTTTGTGTTCCACTTCAGGAATTGAACTTTCCTCTTGATAGAGCAGCTCTGAAACCCTCGTTTTCTAGAATCTGCAAGTGGACATTTGGAGGGCTTTGAGGCCTGTGGTGGAAAAGGAAAATCTTCACATAAAAACTAGATGGAAGCATTCTCAGAAACTACTTTGTGATGATTGCATTCGACTCACAGAGTTGAACATTCCTATCGATAGAGCAGGTTGTAAACAATCTTTTTGTAGAATCTGCGATTGGAGATTTGGACTGCTTTGAGGCCTACTGTAGTAAAGGAAAGAACTTCATCTAAAAACCAAACGGAAGCATTCACAGACAATTCTTAGTGATCATTGCATTGAACTAACAGAGCTGAACATTCCTTTAGATGAAGCAGTTTCCAAACACACTTTCTGTAGAATCTGCAAGTGGATATTTGGACCTCTCTGAGGATTTCGTTGGAAACGGGATAAACTTCCCAGAACTACACGGAAGCATTGTGAGAAACTTCTTTGTGATGTTTGCATTCAACTCACAGAGTTGAACCTTGCTTTCATAGTTCAGCTTTCAAACACTCTTTTTGTAGAATCTGCAAGTGGATATTTGGACCACTTTGTGGCCTTCCTTCGAAACGGGTATATCTTCACATCAAACCTAGACAGAAGCATTCTCAGAATGTTTCCTGTGATGACTGCATTCAACTCACAGAGGTGAACAATCCTGCTGATGGAGCAGTTTTGAAACTCTCTTTCTTTGAATTCTGCAAGTGGATATGTGGACCTCTGTGAAGATTTCGTTGGAAACGGGTTCATCTTCACAGAAAAACTAAACAGGAGCATTCTCAGAAACTGCTTTGTGATGTTTGTGTTCCACTTCAGGAATTGAACTTTCCTCTTGACAGAGCAGCTCTGAAACCCTCTTATTCTAGAATCTGCAAGTGGACATTTGGAGGGCTTTGAGGCCTGTGGTGGAAAAGGAAAATCTTCACATAAAAACTAGATGGAAGCATTCTCAGAAACTACTTTGTGATGATTGCATTCGACTCACAGAGTTGAACATTCCTATAGATAGAGCAGGTTGTAAACAATCTTTTTGTAGAATCTGCGATTGGAGATTTGGACTGCTTTGAGGCCTACTGTAGTAAAGGAAATAACTTCATCTAAAAACCAAACGGAAGCATTCACAGACAATTCTTAGTGATCATTGGATTGAACTAACAGAGCTGAACATTCCTTTAGATGGCGCAGTTTCCAAGCACACTTTCTGTAGAATCTGCAAGTGGATATTTGGACCTCTCTGAGGATTTCGTTGGAAACGGGATAAACTTCCCAGAACTACACGGAAGCATGCTGAGAAACTTCTTTGTGATGTTTGCATTCAACTCACAGAGTTGAACCTTGCTTTCATAGTTCAGCTTTCAAACACTCTTTTTGTAGAATCTGCAAGTGGATATTTGGACCACTTTGTGGCCTTCCTTCGAAACGGGTATATCTTCACATCAAACCTAGACAGAAGCATTCTCAGAATGTTTCCTGTGATGACTGCATTCAACTCACAGAGGTGAACAATCCTGCTGATGGAGCAGTTTTGAAACTCTCTTTCTTTGGATTCTGCAAGTGGATATGTGGACCTCTGTGAAGATTTCGTTGGAAACGGGTTCATCTTCACAGAAAAACTAAACAGAAGCATTCTCAGAAACTGCTTTGTGATGTTTGTGTTCCACTTCAAGAATTGAACTTTCCTCTTGACAGAGCAGCTCTGAAACCCTCTTTGTCTAGAATCCGCAAGTGGACATTTGGAGGGCTTTGAGGCCTGTGGTGGAAAAGGAAATATCTTCACATACAACCTAGATAGAAGCATTCTCAGAAACTACTTTGTGATGATTGCATTCGACTCACAGAGTTGAACATTCCTATAGATAGAGCAGGTTGTAAACAATCTTTTTGTAGAATCTGCGATTGGAGATTTGGACTGCTTTGAGGCCTACTGTAGTAAAGGAAATAACTTCATCTGAAAACCAAACGGAAGCATTCACAGACAATTCTTAGTGATCATTGGATTGAACTAACAGAGCTGAACATTCCTTTAGATGGAGCAGTTTCCAAACACACTTTCTGTAGAATCTGCAAGTGGATATTTGGACCTCTCTGAGGATTTCTTTGGAAACGGGATAAACTTCCCAGAACTACACGGAAGAATTGTGAGAAACTTCTTTGTGATGTTTGCATTCAACTCACAGAGTTGAACCTTGCTTTCATAGTTCAGCTTTCAAACACTCTTTTTGTAGAATCTGCAAGTGGATATTTGGACCACTTTGTGGCCTTCCTTCGAAACGGGTATATCTTCACATCAAACCTAGACAGAAGCATTCTCAGAAAGTTTCCTGTGATGACTGCATTCAACTCACAGAGGTGAACAATCCTTCTGATGGAGCAGTTTTGAAACTCTCTTTCTTTGGATTCTGCAAGTGGATATGTGGACCTCTGTGAAGATTTCGTTGGAAACGGGTTCATCTTCACAGAAAAACTAAACAGAAGCATTCTCAGAAACTGCTTTGTGATGTTTGTGTTCCACTTCAAGAATTGAACTTTCCTCTTGACAGAGCAGCTCTGAAACCCTCTTTTTCTAGAATCTGCAAGTGGACATTTGGAGGGCTTTGAGGCCTGTGGTGGAAAAGGAAAATCTTCACATAAAAACTAGATGGAAACATTCTCAGAAACTCCTTTGTGATGATTGCATTCGACCCACAGAGTTGAACATTCCTATAGATAGAGCAGGTTGTAAACAATCTTTTGTAGAATCTGCGATTGGAGATTTGGACTGCTTTGAGGCCTACTGTAGTAAAGGAAATAACTTCATCTAAAAACCAAACGGAAGCATTCACAGACAATTCTTAGTGATCATTGGATTGAACTAACAGAGCTGAACATTCCTTTAGATGGAGCAGTTTCCAAACACACTTTCTGTAGAATCTGCAAGTGGATATTTGGACTTCTCTGAGGATTTCGTTGGAAACGGGATAAACTTCCCAGAACTACACGGAAGCATTGTGAGAAACTTCTTTGTGATGTTTGCATTCAACTCACAGAGTTGAACCTTGCTTTCCTAGTTCAGCTTTCAAACACTCTTTTTGTGGAATCTGCAAGTGGATATTTGGACCACTTTGTGGCCTTCCTTCGAAACGGGTATATCTTCACATCAAACCTAGACAGAAGCATTCTCAGAATGTTTCCTGTGATGACTGCATTCAACTCACAGAGGTGAACAATCCTGCTGATGGAGCAGTTTTGAAACTCTCTTTCTTTGGATTCTGCAAGTGGATATGTGGACCTCTGTGAAGATTTCGTTGGAAACGGGTTCATCTTCACAGAAAAACTAAACAGGAGCATTCTCAGAAACTACTTTGTGATGTTTGTGTTCCACTTCAAGAATTGAACTTTCCTCTTGACAGAGCAGCTCTGAAACCCTCTTTTTCTAGAATCTGCAAGTGGATATTTGGAGGGCTTTGAGGCCTGTGGTGGAAAAGGAAAATCTTCACATAAAAACTAGATGGAAGCATTCTCAGAAACTACTTTGTGATAATTGCATTCGACTCACAGAGTTGAACATTCCCATAGATAGAGCAGGTTGTAAACAATCTTTTTGTAGAATCTGCGATTGGAGATTTGGACTGCTTTGAGGCCTACTGTAGTAAAGGAAATAACTTCATCTAAAAACCAAACGGAAGCATTCACAGACAATTCTTACTGATCATTGCATTGAACTAACAGAGCTGAACATTCCTGTAGATGGCGCAGTTTCCAAACACACTTTCTGTAGAATCTGCAAGTGGATATTTGGACCTCTCTGAGGATTTCGTTGGAAACGGGATAAACTTCCCAGAACTACACGGAAGCATGCTGAGAAACTTCTTTGTGATGTTTGCATTCAACTCACAGAGTTGAACCTTGCTTTCATAGTTCAGCTTTCAAACACTCTTTTTGTAGAATCTGCAAGTGGATATTTGGACCACTTTGTGGCCTTCCTTCGAAACGGGTATATCTTCACATCAAACCTAGACAGAAGCATTCTCAGAATGTTTCCTGTGATGACTGCATTCAACTCACAGAGGTGAACAATCCTGCTTATGGAGCAGTTTTGAAACTCTCTTTCTTTGGATTCTGCAAGTGGATATGTGGACCTCTGTGAAGATTTCGTTGGAAACGGGTTCATCTTCACAGAAAAACTAAACAGGAGCATTCTCAGAAACTGCTTTGTGATGTTTGTGTTCCACTTCAAGAATTGAACTTTCCTCTTGACAGAGCAGCTCTGAAACCCTCTTTTTCTAGAATCTGCAAGTGGACATTAGGAGGGCTTTGAGGCCTGTGGTGGAAAAGGAAAATCTTCACATAAAAACTAGATGGAAGCATTCTCAGAAACTACTTTGTGATGATTGCATTCGACTCACAGAGTTGAACATTCCTATAGATAGAGCAGGTTGTAAACAATCTTTTTGTAGAATCCGCGATTGGAGATTTGGACTGCTTTGAGGCCTACTGTAGTAAAGGAAATAACTTCATCTAAAAACCAAACGGAAGCATTCACAGACAATTCTTAGTGATCATTGGATTGAACTAACAGAGCTGAACATTCCTTTAGATGGAGCAGTTTCCAAACACACTTTCTGTAGAATCTGCAAGTGGATATTTGGACCTCTCTGAGGATTTCGTTGGAAACGGGATAAACTTCCCAGAACTACACGGAAGCATGCTGAGAAACTTCTTTGTGATGTTTGCATTCAACTCACAGAGTTGAACCTTGCTTTCATAGTTCAGCTTTTAAACACTCTTTTTGTAGAATCTGCAAGTGGATATTTGGACCACTTTGTGGCCTTCCTTCGAAACGGGTATATCTTCACATCAAACCTAGACAGAAGCATTCTCAGAATGTTTCCTGTGATGACTGCATTCAACTCACAGAGGTGAACAATCCTGCTGATGGAGCAGTTTTGAAACTCTCTTTCTTTGGATTCTGCAAGTGGATATGTGGACCTCTGTGAAGATTTCGTTGGAAACGGGTTCATCTTCACAGAAAAACTAAACAGGAGCATTCTCAGAAACTGCTTTGTGATGTTTGTGTTCCACTTCAGGAATTGAACTTTCCTCTTGACAGAGCAGCTCTGAAACCCTCTTATTCTAGAATCTGCAAGTGGACATTTGGAGGGCTTTGAGGCCTGTGGTGGAAAAGGAAAATCTTCACATAAAAACTAGATGGAAGCATTCTCAGAAACTACTTTGTGATGATTGCATTCGACTCACAGAGTTGAACATTCCTATAGATAGAGCAGGTTGTAAACAATCTTTTTGTAGAATCTGCGATTGGAGATTTGGACTGCTTTGAGGCCTAGTGTAGTAAAGGAAATAACTTCATCTAAAAACCAAACGGAAGCATTCACAGACAATTCTTAGTGATCATTGCATTGAACTAACAGAGCTGAACATTCCTTTAGATGGAGCAGTTTCCAAACCCACTTTCTGAAGAAACTGCAAGTGGATATTTGGACTTCTCTGAGGATTTCGTTGGAAACTGGATAAACTTCCCAGAACTACAGGGAAGCATTCTGAGAAACTTCTTTGTGATGTTTGCATTCAACTCACAGAGTTGAACCTTGCTTTCGTAGTTCAGCTTTCAAACACTCTTTTTGTAGAATCTGCAAGTGGATATTTGGACCACTTTGTGGCCTTCCTTCGAAACGGGTATATCTTCACATCAAACCTAGACAGAAGCATTCTCAGAATGTTTCCTGTGATGACTGCATTCAACTCATAGAGGTGAACAATCCTGTTGATGGAGAAGTTTTGAAACTCTTTTTCTTTGGATTCTGCAAGTGGATATGTGGACCTCTGTGAAGATTTCGTTGGAAACGGGTTCATCTTCACAGGAAAACTAAACAGGAGCATTCTCAGAAACTGCTTTGTGATGTTTGTGTTCCACTTCAAGAATTGAACTTTCCTCTTGACAGAGCAGCTCTGAAACCCTCTTTTTCTAGAATCTGCAAGTGGACATTTGGAGGGCTTTGATGCCTGTGGTGGAAAAGGAAAATCTTCACATAAAAACTAGATGGAAGCATTCTCAGAAACTACTTTGGGATGATTGCATTCGACTCACAGAGTTGAACATTCCTATAGATAGAGCAGGTTGTAAACAATCTTTTTGTAGAATGTGCGATTGGAGATTTGGACTGCTTTGAGGCCTACTGTAGTAAAGGAAATAACTTCATCTAAAAACCAAACGGAAGCATTCACAGACAATTCTTAGTGATCAGTGCATTGAACTAACAGAGCTGAACATTCCTTTAGATGGCGCAGTTTCCAAACACACTTTCTGTAGAATCTGCAAGTGGATATTTGGACCTCTCTGAGGATTTCGTTGGAAACGGGATAAACTTCCCAGAACTACACGGAAGCATTCTGAGAAACTTCTTTGTGATGTTTGCATTCAACACACAGAGTTGAACCTTGCTTTCATAGTTCAGCTTTCAAACACTCTTTTTGTAGAATCTGCAAGTGGATATTTGGACCACTTTGTGGCCTTCCTTCGAAACGGGTATATCTTCACATCAAACCTCGACAGAAGCATTCTCGGAATATTTCCTGTGATGACTGCATTCAACTCACAGAGGTGAACAATCCTGCTGATGGAGCAGTTTTGAAACTCTCTTTCTTTGGATTCTGCAAGTGGATATGTGGACCTCTGTGAAGATTTCGTTGGAAACGGGTTCATCTTCACAGAAAATCTAAACAGGAGCATTCTCAGAAACTGCTTTGTGATGTTTGTGTTCCACTTCAGGAATTGAACTTTCCTCTTGACAGAGCAGCTCTGAAACCCTCTTTTTCTAGAGTCTGCAAGTGGACATTTGGAGGGCTTTGAGGCCTGTGGTGGAAAAGGAAAATCTTCACATAAAAACTAGATGGAAGCATTCTCAGAAACTACTTTGTGATGATTGCATTCGACTCACAGAGTTGAACATTCCTAAAGATAGAGCAGGTTGTAAACAATCTTTTTGTAGAATCTGAGATTGGAGATTTGGACTGCTTTGAGGCCTACTGTAGTAAAGGAAATAACTTCATCTAAAAACCATACGGAAGCATTCACAGACAATTCTTAGTGATCATTGGATTGAACTAACAGAGCTGAACATTCCTTTAGATGGAGCAGTTTCCAAACACACTTTCTGTAGAATCTGCAAGTGGATATTTGGACTTCTCTGAGGATTTCGTTGGAAACGGGATAAACTTCCCAGAACTACACGGAAGCATTGGGAGAAACTTCTTTGTGATGTTTGCATTCAACTCACAGAGTTGAACCTTGCTTTCATAGTTCAGCTTTCAAACACTCTTTTTGTAGAATCTGCAAGTGGATATTTGGACCACTTTGTGGCCTTCCTTCGAAACGGGTATATCTTCACATCAAACCTAGACAGAAGCATTCTCAGAATGTTTCCTGTGATGACTGCATTCAACTCACAGAGGTGAACAATCCTGCTGATGGAGCAGTTTTGAAACTCTCTTTCTTTGGATTCTGCAAGTGGATATGTGGACCTCTGTGAAGATTTCGTTGGAAACGGGTTCATCTTCACAGAAAAACTAAATAGAAGCATTCTCAGAAACTGCTTTGTGATGTTTGTGTTCCACTTCAGGAATTGAACTTTCCTCTTGACAGAGCAGCTCTGAAACCCTCTTATTCTAGAATCTGCAAGTGGACATTTGGAGGGCTTTGAGGCCTGTGGTGGAAAAGGAAAATCTTCACATAAAAACTAGATGGAAGCATTCTCAGAAACTACTTTGTGATGATTGCATTCGACTCACAGAGTTGAACATTCCTATAGATAGAGCAGGTTGTAAACAATCTTTTTGTAGAATCTGCGATTGGAGATTTGGACTGCTTTGAGGCCTACTGTAGTAAAGGAAATAACTTCATCTAAAAATCAAACGGAAGCATTCACAGACAATTCTTAGTGATCATTGGATTGAACTAACAGAGCTGAACATTCCTTTAGATGGAGCAGTTTCCAAACACACTTTCTGTAGAATCTGCAAGTGGATATTTGGACCTCTCTGAGGATTTCGTTGGAAACGGGATAAACTTCCCAGAACTACACGGAAGCATTCTGAGAAACTTCTTTGTGATGTTTGCATTCAACTCACAGAGTTGAACCTTGCTTTCATAGTTCAGCTTTCAAACACTCTTTTTGTAGAATCTGCAAGTGGATATTTGGACACTTTGTGGCCTTCCTTCGAAACGGGTATATCTTCACATCAAACCTACACAGAAGCATTCTCAGAATGTTTCCTGTGATGACTGCATTCAACTAACAGAGGTGAACAATCCTGTTGATGGAGCAGTTTTGAAACTCTCTTTCTTTGGATTCTGCAAGTGGATATGAGGACCTCTGTGAAGATTTCGTTGGAAACGGGTTCATCTTCACAGAAAAAATAAACAGGAGCATTCTCAGAAACTGCTTTGTGATGTTTGTGTTCCACTTCAGGAATTGAACTTTCCTCTTGATAGAGCAGCTCTGAAACCCTCTTTTTCTAGAATCTGCAAGTGGACATTTGGAGGGCTTTGAGGCCTGTGGTGGAAAAGGAAAATCTTCACATAAAAACTAGATGGAAGCATTCTCAGAAACTACTTTCTGATGATTGCATTCGACTCACAGAGTTGAACATTCCTATAGATAGAGCAGGTTGTAAACAATGTTTTTGTAGAATCTGCGATTGGAGATTTGGACTGCTTTGAGGCCTACTGTAGTAAAGGAAATAACTTCATCTAAAAACCAAACGGAAGCATGCACAGACAATTCTTAGTGATCATTGGATTGAACTAACAGAGCTGAACATTCCTTTAGATGGAGCAGTTTCCAAACACACTTTCTGTAGATTCTGCAAGTGGATATTTGGACCTCTCTGAGGATTTCGTTGGAAAAGGGATAAACTTCCCAGAACTACACGGAAGCATTGTGAGAAACTTCTTTGTGATGTTTGCATTCAACTCACAGAGTTGAACCTTGCTTTCATAGTTCAGCTTTCAAACACTCTTTTTGTGGAATCTGCAAGTGGATATTTGGACCACTTTGTGGCATTCCTTCGAAACGGGTATATCTTCACATCAAACCTAGACAGAAGCATTCTCAGAATGTTTCCTGTGATGACTGCATTCAACTCACAGAGGTGAACAATCCTGTTGATGGAGCAGTTTTGAAACTCCCTTTCTTTGGATTCTGCAAGTGGATATGTGGAACTCCTTTGAAGATTTCGTTGGAAACGGGTTCATCTTCACAGAAAAACTAAACAGGAGCATTCTCTGAAACTGCTTTGTGATGTTTGTGTTCCACTTCAAGAATTGAACTTTCCTCTTGACAGAGCAGCTCTGAAACCCTCTTTTTCTAGAATCTGCAAGTGGACATTTGGAGGGCTTTGAGGCCTGTGGTGGAAAAGGGAAATCTTCACATAAAAACTAGATGGAAGCATTCTCAGAAACTACTTTGTGATGACTGCATTCGACTCACAGAGTTGAACATTCCTATAAATAGAGCAGGCTGTAAACAATCTTTTTGTAGAATCTGCGATTGGAGATTTGGACTGCTTTGAGGCCTACTGTAGTAGAGGAAAGAACTTCATCTAAAAATCAAACGGAAGCATTCACAGACAATTCTTAGTGATCATTGGATTGAACTAACAGAGCTGAACATTCCTTTAGATGGAGCAGTTTCCAAACACACTTTCTGTAGAATCTGCAAGTGGATATTTGGACTTCTCTGAGGATTTCGGTTGGAAACCGGATAAACTTCCCAGAACTACACGGAAACATTCTGAGAAACTTCTTTGTGATGTTTGCATTCAACTCACAGAGTTGAACCTTGCTTTCATAGTTCAGCTTTCAATCACTCTTTTTGTAGAATCTGCAAGTGGATATTTGGACCACTTTGTGTTCTTCCTTCGAAACGGGTATATCTTCACATCAAACCTAGACCGAAGCATTCTCAGAATGTTTCCTGTGATGACTGCATTCAACTCACAGAGGTGAACAATCCTGTTGATGGAGCAGTTTTGAAACTCTCTTTCTTTGGATTCTGCAAGTGGATATGTGGACATCTGTGAAGATTTCGTTGGAAACGGGTTCATCTTCACAGAAAAACTAAACAGAAGCATTCTCAGAAACTGCTTTGTGATGTTTGTGTTCCACTTCAGGAATTGAACTTTCCTCTTGACAGAGTAGCTCTGAAACCCTCTTTTTCTAGAATCTGCAAGTGGACATTTGGAGGGCTTTGAGGCCTGTGGTGGAAAAGGAAAATCTTCACATAAAAACTAGATGGAAGCATTCTCAGAAACTACTTTGTGATGATTGCATTCGACTCACAGAGTTGAACATTCCTATAGATAGAGCAGGTTGTAAACAATCTTTTTGTAGAATCTGCGATTGGAGATTTGGACTGCTTTGAGGCCTACTGTAGTAAAGGAAATAACTTCATCTAAAAACCAAACGGAAGCATTCACAGACAATTCTTAGTGATCATTGGATTGAACTAACAGAGCTGAACATTCCTTTCGATGGCGCAGTTTCCAAACACACTTTCTGTAGAATCTGCAAGTGGATATTTGGACCTCTCTGAGGATTTCGTTGGAAACGGGATAAACTTCCCAGAACTACACGGAAGCATTCTGAGAAACTTCTTTGTGATGTTTGCATTCAACTCACAGAGTTGAACCTTGCTTTCATAGTTCAGCTTTCAAACACTCTTTTTGTAGAATCTGCAAGTGGATATTTGGACCACTTTGTGGCCTTCCTTCGAAACGGGTATATCTTCACATCAAAGCTAGACAGAAGCATTCTCAGAATGTTTCCTGTGATGACTGCATTCAACTCATAGAGGTGAACAATCCTGTTGATGGAGAAGTTTTGAAACTCTTTTTCTTTGGATTCTGCAAGTGGATATGTGGACCTCTGTGAAGATTTCGTTGGAAACGGGTTCATCTTCACAGGAAAACTAAACAGGAGCATTCTCAGAAACTGCTTTGTGATGTTTGTGTTCCACTTCAACAATTGAACTTTCCTCTTGACAGAGCAGCTCTGAAACCCTCTTTTTCTAGAATCTGCAAGTGGACATTTGGAGGGCTTTGAGGCCTGTGGTGGAAAAGGAAAATCTTCACATAAAAACTAGATGGAAAGCATTCTCAGAAACTACTTTGTGATGATTGCATTCGACCCACAGAGTTGAACATTCCTATAGATAGAGCAGGTTGTAAACAATCTTTTTGTAGAATCTGCGATTGGAGATTTGGACTCCTTTGAGGCCTACTGTAGTAAAGGAAATAACTTCATCTAAAAACCAAACGGAAGCATTCACAGACAATTCTTAGTGATCATTGCATTGAACTAACAGAGCTGAACATTCCTTTAGATGGAGCAGTTTCCAAACACACTTTCTGTAGAATCTGCAAGTGGATATTTGGACTTCTCTGAGGATTTCGTTGGATACGGGATAAACTTCCCAGAACTACACGGAAGCATTGTGAGAAACTTCTTTGTGTGTTTGCATTCAACTCACAGAGTTGAACCTTGCTTTCATAGTTCAGCTTTCAAACACTCTTTTTGTAGAATCTGCAAGTGGATATTTGGACCACTTTGTGGCCTTCCTTCGAAACGGGTATATCTTCACATCAAACTTAGACAGAAGCATTCTCAGAATGTTTCCTGTGATGACTGCATTCAACTCACAGAGGTGAACAATCCTGTTGATGGAGCAGTTTTGAAACTCTCTTTCTTTGGATTCTGCAAGTTGATATGTGGACCTCTGTGAAGATTTCGTTGGAAACGGGTTCATCTTCACAGAAAAACTAAACAGAAGCATTCTCAGAAACTACTTTGTGATGTTTGTGTTCCACTTCAAGAATTGAACTTTCCTCTTGACAGAGCAGCTCTGAAACCCTCTTTTTCTAGAATCTGCAAGTGGACATTTGGAGGGCTTTGAGGCCTGTGGTGGAAAAGGAAAATCTTCACATAAAAACTAGATGGAAGCATTCTCAGAAACTACTTTGTGATGATTGCATTCGACTCACAGAGTTGAACATTCCTATAGATAGAGCAGGTTGTAAACAATCTTTTTGTAGAATCTGCGATTGGAGATTTGGACTGCTTTGAGGCCTACTGTAGTAAAGGAAATAACTTCATCTAAAAACCAAACGGAAGCATTCACAGACAATTCTTAGTGATCATTGGATTGAACTAACAGAGCTGAACATTCCATTAGATGGAGCAGTTTCCAAACACACTTTCTGTAGAATCTGCAAGTGGATATTTGGACTTCTCTGAGGATTTCGTTGGAAACGGGCTAAACTTCCCAGAACTACACGGAAGCATTCTGAGAAACTTCTTTGTGATGTTTGCATTCAACTCACAGAGTTGAACCTTGCTTTTATAGTTCAGCTTTCAAACACTCTTTTTGTAGAATCTGCAAGTGGATATTTGGACCACTTTGTGGCCTTCCTTCGAAACGGGTATATCTTCACATCAAACCTAGACAGAAGCATTCTCAGAATGTTTCCTGTGATGACTGCATTCAACTCACAGAGGTGAACAATCCTGCTGATGGAGCAGTTTTGAAACTCTCTTTCTTTGGATTCTGCAAGTGGATATGTGGACCTCTGTGAAGATTTCGTTGGAAACGGGTTCATCTTCACAGAAAAACTAAACAGAAGCATTCTCAGAAACTGCTTTGTGATGTTTGTGTTCCACTTCAAGAATTGAACTTTCCTCTTGACAGAGCAGCTCTGAAACCCTCTTTTTATAGAATCTGCAAGTGGACATTTGGAGGGCTTTGAGGCCTGTGGTGGAAAAGGAAAATCTTCACATAAAAACTAGATGGAAGCATTCTCAGAAACTACTTTGTGATGATTGCATTCGACTCACAGGGTTGAACATTCCTATAGATAGAGCAGGTTGTAAACAATCTTTTTGTAGAATATGCGATTGGAGATTTGGACTGCTTTGAGGCCTACTGTAGTAAAGGAAATAACTTCATCTAAAAACCAAACGGAAGCATTCACAGACAATTCTTAGTGATCATTGGATTGAACTAACAGAGCTGAACATTCCTTTAGATGGAGCAGTTTCCAAACCCACTTTATGTAGAATCTGCAAGTGGATATTTGGACTTCTCTGAGGATTTCGTTGGAAACGGGATATGCTTCCCAGAACTACAGGGAAGCATTCTGAGAAACTTCTTTGTGATGTTTGCATTCAACTCACAGAGTTGAACCTTGCTTTCATAGTTCAGCTTTCAAACACTCTTTTTGTAGAATCTGCAAGTGGATATTTGGACCACTTTGTGGCCTTCCTTCGAAACGGGTATATCTTCACATCAAACCTAGACAGAAGCATTCTCAGAATGTTTCCTGTGATGACTGCATTCAACTCACAGAGGTGAACAATCCTGTTGATGGGGCACTTTTGAAACTCTCTTTCTTTGGATTCTGCAAGTTGATATGTGGACCTCTGAGAAGATTTCGTTGGAAACGGGTTCATCTTCACAGAAAAACTAAACAGAAGCATTCTCAGAAACTACTTTGTGATGTTTGTGTTCCACTTCAAGAATTGAACTTTCCTCTTGACAGAGCAGCTCTGAAACCCTCTTTTTCTAGAATCTGCAAGTGGACATTTGGAGGGCTTTGAGGCCTGTGGTGGAAAAGGAAAATCTTCACATAAAAACTAGATGGAAGCATTCTCAGAAACTACTTTGTGATGATTGCATTCGACTCACAGAGTTGAACATTCCTATAGATAGAGCAGGTTGTAAACAATCTTTTTGTAGAATCTGCGATTGGAGATTTGGACTGCTTTGAGGCCTACTGTAGTAAAGGAAATAACTTCATCTAAAAACCAAACGGAAGCATTCACAGACAATTCTTAGTGATCATTGGATTGAACTAACAGAGCTGAACATTCCTTTAGATGGAGCAGTTTCCAAACACACTTTCTGTAGAATCTGCAAGTGGATATTTGGACTTCTCTGAGGATTTCGTTGGAAACGGGATAAACTTCCCAGAACTACAGGGAAGCATTGTGAGAAACTTCTTTGTGATGTTTGCATTCAACTCACAGAGTTGAACGTTGCTTTCATAGTTCAGCTTTCAAACACTCTTTTTGTAGAATCTGCAAGTGGATATTTGGACCACTTTGTGGCCTTCCTTCGAAACGGGTATATCTTCACATCAAACCTAGACAGAAGCATTCTCAGAATGTTTCCTGTGATGACTGCATTCAACTCACAGAGGTGAACAATCCTGCTGATGGAGCAGTTTTGAAACTCTCTTTCTTTGGATTCTGCAAGTGGATATGTGGACCTCTGTGAAGATTTCGTTGGAAACGGGTTCATCTTCACAGAAAAACTAAACAGGAGCATTCTCAGAAACTACTTTGTGATGTTTGTGTTCAACTTGCAGAGTTGAACTTTCCTCTTGACAGAGCAGCCATGAAACATTGCTTTTCTTGAATCTGCAAGTGGACATTTGGAGAGATTTGAGGCCTGTGGCGGAAACGTAAATATCTGCATATAAAAACTAGATAGAAGCATTCTCAGAAACTACTTTGTGATGATTGCATTCGACTCAAAGAGTTGAACATTCCTATAGATAGAGCAGGTTGTAAACAATCTTTTTGCAGAATCTGTGATTGCAGATTTGGACTGCTTTGAGGCCTACTGTAGTAAAGGAAATAACTTCATCTAAAAACCAAACGGAAGCATTCACAGACAATTCTTAGTGATCATTGGATTGAACTAAAAGAGCTGAACATTCCTTTAGATGGAGCAGTTTCCAAACACACTTTCTGTAGAATCTGCAAGTGGATATTTGGACTTCTCTGAGGATTTCGTTGGAAACGGGATAAACTTCCCAGAACTACACGGAAGCATTCTGAGAAACTTCTTTGTGATGTTTGCATTCAACTCACAGAGTTGAACCTTGCTTTCATAGTTCAGCTTTCAAACACTCTTTTTGTAGAATCTGCAAGTCGATATTTGGACCACTTTGAGGCCTTCCTTCGAAACGGGTATATCTTCACATCAAACCTAGACAGAAGCATTCTCAGAATGTTTCCTGTGATGACTGCATTCAACTCACAGAGGTGAACAATCCTGTTGATGGAGCAGTTTTGAAACTCTCTTTCTTTGGATTCTGCAAGTGGATATGTGGACCTCTGTGAAGATTTCGTTGGAAACGGGTTCATCTTCACAGAAAAACTAAACAGAAGCATTCTCAGAAACTGCTTTGTGATGTTTGTGTTCCACTTAAAGAATTGAACTTTCCTCTTGACAGAGCAGCTCTGAAACCCTCTTTTTCTAGAATCTGCAAGTGGACATTTGGAGGGCTTTGAGGCCAGTGGTGGAAAAGGAAAATCTTCACATAAAAACTAGATGGAAGCATTCTCAGAAACTACTTTGTGATGATTGCATTCGACTCACAGAGTTGAACATTCCTATAGATAGAGCAGGTTGTAAACAATCTTTTTGTAGAATCTGCGATTGGAGATTTGGACTGCTTTGAGGCCTACTGTAGTAAAGGAAATAACTTCATCTAAAAACCAAACGGAAGCATTCACAGACAATTTTTAGTGATCATTGCATTGAACTAACAGAGCTGAACATTCCTTTAGATGGCGCAGTTTCCAAACACACTTTCTGTAGAATCTGCAAGTGGATATTTGGACCTCTCTGAGGATTTCGTTGGAAACGGGATAAACTTCCCAGAACTACACGGAAGCATGCTGAGAAACTTCTTTGTGATGTTTGCATTCAACTCACAGAGTTGAACCTTGCTTTCATAGTTCAGCTTTCAAACACTCTTTTTGTAGAATCTGCAAGTGGATATTTGGACCACTTTGTGGCCTTCCTTCGAAACGGGTATATCTTCACATCAAACCTAGACAGAAGCATTCTCAGAATGTTTCCTGTGATGACTGCATTCAACTCACAGAGGTGAACAATCCTGTTGATGGAGCACTTTTGAAACTCTCTTTCTTTGGATTCTGCAAGTTGATATGTGGACCTCTGTGAAGATTTCGTTGGAAACGGGTTCATCTTCACAGAAAATCTAAACAGAAGCATTCTCAGAAACTGCTTTGTGATGTTTGTGTTCCACTTCAAGAATTGAACTTTCCTCTTGACAGAGCAGCTCTGAAACCCTCTTTTTCTAGAATCTGCAAGTGGACATTTGGAGGGCTTTGAGGCCTGTGGTGGAAAAGGAAAATCTTCACATAAAAACTAGATGGAAGAATTCTCAGAAACTACTTTGTGATGATTACATTCGGCTCACAGAGTTGAACATTCCTATAGATAGAGCAGGTTGTAAACAATCTTTTTGTAGAATCTGCGATTGGAGATTTGGACTGCTTTGAGGCCTACTGTAGTAAAGGAAATAACTTCATCTAAAAATCAAACGGAAGCATTCACAGACAATTCTTAGTGATCATTGGATTGAACTAACAGAGCTGAACATTCCTTTAGATGGAGCAGTTTCCAAACCCACTTTCTGTAGAATCTGCAAGTGGATATTTGGACTTCTCTGAGGATTTCGTTGGAAACGGGATAAACTTCCCAGAACTACACGGAAGCATTGTGAGAAACTTCTTTGTGATGTTTGCATTCAACTCACAGAGTTGAACCTTGCTTTCATAGTTCAGCTTTCAAACACTCTTTTTGTAGAATCTGCAAGTGGATATTTGGACCACTTTGTGGCCTTCCTTCGAAACGGGTATATCTTCACATCAAACCTAGACAGAAGCATTCTCAGAATGTTTCCTGTGATGACTGCATTCAACTCACAGAGGTGAACAATCCTGCTGATGGAGCAGTTTTGAAACTCTCCTTCTTTGGATTCTGGAAGTGGATATGTGGACCTCTGTGAAGATTTCGTTGGAAACGGGTTCATCTTCACAGAAAAATTAACAGAAGCATTCTCAGAAACTGCTTTGTGATGTTTGTGTTCCACTTCAGGAATTGAACTTTCCTCTTGACAGAGCAGCTCTGAAACCCTCTTATTCTAGAATCTGCAAGTGGACATTTGGAGGGCTTTGAGGCCTGTGGTGGAAAAGGAAAATCTTCACATAAAAACTAGATGGAAGCATTCTCAGAAACTACTTTGTGATGATTGCATTCGACTCACAGAGTTGAACATTCCTATACATAGAGCAGGTTGTAAACAATCTTTTTGTAGAATCTGCGATTGGAGATTTGGACTGCTTTGAGGCCTACTGTAGTAAAGGAAATAACTTCATCTAAAAACCAAACGGAAGCATTCACAGACAATTCTTAGTGATCATTGGATTGAACTAACAGAGCTGAACATTCCTTTAGATGGAGCAGTTTCCAAACACACTTTCTGTAGAATCTGCAAGTGGATATTTGGACCTCTCTGAGGATTTCGTTGGAAACGGGATAAACTTCCCAGAACTACACGGAAGCATTGTGAGAAACTTCTTTGTGATGTTTGCATTCAACTCACAGAGTTGAACCTTGCTTTCATAGTTCAGCTTTCAAACACTCTTTTTGTAGAATCTGCAAGTGGATATTTGGACCACTTTGTGGCCTTCGTTCGAAACGGGTATATCTTCACATCAAACCTAGACAGAAGCATTCTCAGAATGTTTCCTGTGATGACTGCATTCAACTCACAGAGGTGAACAATCCTGCTGATGGAGCAGTTTTGAAACTCTCCTTCTTTGGATTCTGCAAGTGGATATGTGGACCTCTGTGAAGATTTTCGTTGGAAACGGGTTCATCTTCACAGAAAAACTAAACAGAAGCATTCTCAGAAACTGCTTTGTGATGTTTGTGTTCCACTTCAAGCAATTGAACTTTCCTCTTGACAGAGCAGCTCTGAAACCCTCTTTTTCTAGAATCTGCAAGTGGACATTTGGAGGGCTTTGAGGCCTGTGGTGGAAAAGGAAAATCTTCCCATAAAAACTAGATGGAAGCATTCTCAGAAACTACTTTGTGATGATTGCATTCGACTCACAGAGTTGAACATTCCTATAGATAGAGCAGGTTGTAAACAATCTTTTTGTAGAATCTGCGATTGGAGATTTGGACTGTTTTGAGGCCTACTGTAGTAAAGGAAATAACTTCATCTAAAAACCAAACGGAAGCATTCACAGACAATTCTTAGTGATCATTGCATTGAACTAACAGAGCTGAACATTCCTTTAGATGGAGCAGTTTCCAAACACACTTTCTGTAGAATCTGAAAGTGGATATTTGGACTTCTCTGAGGATTTCGTTGGAAACGGGATAAACTTCTCAGAACTACACGGAAGCATTGTGAGAAACTTCTTTGTGATGTTTGCATTCAACTCACAGAGTTGAAACTTGCTTTCATAGTTCAGCTTTCAAACACTCTTTTTGTAGAATCTGCAAGTGGATATTTGGACCACTTTGTGGCCTTCCTTCGAAACGTGTATATCTTCACATCAAACCTAGACAGAAGCATTCTCAGAATGTTTCCTGTGATGACTGCATTCAACTCACAGAGGTGAACAATCCTGTTGATGGAGCAGTTTTGAAACTCTCTTTCTTTGGATTCTGCAAGTGGATATGTGGACCTCTGTGAAGATTTCGTTGGAAACGGGTTCATCTTCACAGAAAAACTAAACAGAAGCATTCTCAGAAACTGCTTTGTGATGTTTGTGTTCCACTTCAGGAATTGAACTTTCCTCTTGACAGAGCAGCTCTGAAACCCTCTTATTCTAGAATCTGCAAGTGGACATTTGGAGGGCTTTGAGGCCTGTGGTGGAAAAGGAAAATCTTCACAT
Organism: Homo sapiens; assembly: GCF_000001405.40. Taxonomy (NCBI): domain Eukaryota; kingdom Metazoa; phylum Chordata; class Mammalia; order Primates; family Hominidae; genus Homo; species Homo sapiens. The sequence goes on from NC_000011.10 coordinate 52,610,020, forward strand.
AAAAACTAGATGGAAGCATTCTCAGAAACTACTTTGTGATGATTGCATTCGACTCACAGAGTTGAACATTCCTATAGATAGAGCAGGTTGTAAACAATCTTTTTGTAGAATCTGCGATTGGAGATTTGGACTGCTTTGAGGCCTACTGTAGTAAAGGAAATAACTTCATCTAAAAACCAAACGGAAGCATTCACAGAACAATTCTTAGTGATCATTGGATTGAACTAACAGAGCTGAACATTCCTTTAGATGGAGCAGTTTCCAAACACACTTTCTGTAGAATCTGCAAGTGGATATTTGGACTTCTCTGAGGATTTCGTTGGAAACGGGATAAACTTCCCAGAACTACACGGAAGCATTCTGAGAAACTTCTTTGTGATGTTTGCATTCAACTCACAGAGTTGAACCTTGCTTTCATAGTTCAGCTTTCAAACACTCTTTTTGTAGAATCTGCAAGTGGATATTTGGAGCACTTTGTGGCCTTCCTTCGAAACGGGTATATCTTCACATCAAACCTAGACAGAAGCATTCTCAGAATGTTTCCTGTGATGACTGCATTCAACTCACAGAGGTGAACAATCCTGCTGATGGAGCAGTTTTGAAACTCCCTTTCTTTGGATTCTGCAAGTGGATATGTGGACCTCTGTGAAGATTTCGTTGGAAACGGGATCATCTTCACAGAAAAACTAAACAGGAGCATTCTCAGAAACTGCTTTGTGATGTTTGTGTTCCACTTCAAGAATTGAACTTTCCTCTTGACAGAGCAGCTCTGAAACCCTCTTTTTCTAGAAACTGCAAGTGGACATTTGGAGGGCTTAGAGGCCTGTGGTGGAAAAGGAAAATCTTCACATAAAAACTAGATGGAAGCATTCTCAGCAAACTACTTTGTGATGATTGCATTCGACTCACAGCAGTTGAACATTCCTATAGATAGAGCAGGTTGTAAACAATGTTTTTGTAGAATCTGCGATTGGAGATTTGGATTGCTTTGAGGCCTACTGTAGTAAAGGAAATAACTTCATCTAAAAACCAAACGGAAGCATTCACAGACAATTCTTAGTGATCATTGGATTGAACTAACAGAGCTGAACATTCCTTTAGATGGAGCAGTTTCCAAACACACTTTCTGTAGAATCTGCAAGTGGATATTTGGACTTCTCTGAGGATTTCGTTGGAAACGGGATAAACTTCCCAGAACTACACGGAAGCATTCTGAGAAACTTCTTTGTGATGTTTGCATTCAACTCACAGCAATTGAACCTTGCTTTCATAGTTCAGCTTTCAAACACTCTTTTTGTAGAATCTGCAAGTGGATATTTGGACCACTTTGTGGCCTTCCTTCGAAACGGGTATATCTTCACATCAAACCTAGACAGAAGCATTCTCAGAATGTTTCCTGTGATGACTGCATTCAACTCACAGAGGTGAACAATCCTGCTGATGGAGCAGTTTTGAAACTCTCCTTCTTTGGATTCTGCAAGTGGATATGTGGACCTCTGTGAAGATTTCGTTGGAAACGGGTTCATCTTCACAGAAAAACTTAACAGAAGCATTCTCAGAAACTGCTTTGTGATGTTTGTGTTCCACTTCAGGAATTGAACTTTCCTCTTGACAGAGCAGCTCTGAAACCCTCTTATTCTAGAATCTGCAAGTGGACATTTGGAGGGCTTTGAGGCCTGTGGTGGAAAAGGAAAATCTTCACATAATAACTAGATGGAAGCATTCTCAGAAACTACTTTGTGATGATTGCATTCGACTCACAGAGTTGAACATTCCTATAGATAGAGCAGGTTGTAAACAATCTTTTTGTAGAATCTGCGATTGGAGATTTGGACTGCTTTGAGGCCTACTGTAGTAAAGGAAATAACTTCATCTAAAAACCAAACGGAAGCATTCACAGACAATTCTTAGTGATCATTGGATTGAACTAACAGAGCTGAACATTCCTTTAGATGGAGCAGTTTCCAAACCCACTTTCTGTAGAATCTGCAAGTGGATATTTGGACCTCTCTGAGGATTTCGTTGGAAACGGGATATACTTCCCAGAACTACACGGAAGCATTGTGAGAAACTTCTTTGTGATGTTTGCATTCAACTCACAGAGTTGAACCTTGCTTTCATAGTTCAGCTTTCAAACACTCTTTTTGTAGAATCTGCAAGTGGATATTTGGACCACTTTGTGGCCTTCCTTCGAAACGGGTATATCTTCACATCAAACCTAGACAGAAGCATTCTCAGAATGTTTCCTGTGATGACTGCATTCAACTCACAGAGGTGAACAATCCTGCTGATGGAGCAGTTTTGAAACTCTCTTTCTTTGGATTCTGCAAGTGGATATGTGGACCTCTGTGAAGATTTCGTTGGAAACGGGTTCATCTTCACAGAAAAACTAAACAGGAGCATTCTCAGAAACTGCTTTGTCATGTTTGTGTTCCACTTCAGGAATTGAACTTTCCTCTTGACAGAGCAGCTCTGCAACACTCTTATTCTAGAATCTGCAAGTTGACATTTGGAGGGCTTTGAGGCCTGTGGTGGAAAAGGAAAATCTTCACATAAAAACTAGATGGAAGCATTCTCAGAAACTACTTTGTGATGATTGCATTCGACTCACAGAGTTGAACATTCCTATAGATAGAGCAGGTTGTAAACAATCTTTTTGTAGAATCTGCGATTGGAAATTTGGACTGCTTTGAGGCCTACTGTAGTAAAGGAAATAACGTCATCTAAAAACCAAACGGAAGCATTCACAGACAATTCTTAGTGATCATTGGATTGAACTAACAGAGCTGAACATTCCTTTAGATGGCGCAGTTTCCAAACACACTTTCTGTAGAATCTGCAACTGGATATTTGGACCCCTCTGAGGATTTCGTTGGAAACGGGATAAACTTCCCAGAACTACACGGAAGCATTGTGAGAATCTTCTTTGTGATGTTTGCACTCAACTCACAGAGTTGAACCTTGCTTTCATAGTTCAGCTTTCAAACACTCTTTTTGTAGAATCTGCAAGTGGATATTTGGACCACTTTGTGGCCTTCCTTCGAAACGGGTATATCTTCACATCAAACCTAGACAGAAGCCTTCTCAGAATGTTTCCTGTGATGACTGCATTCAACTCACAGAGGTGAACAATCCTGCTGATGGAGCAGTTTTGAAACTCTCTTTCTTTGGATTCTGTAAGTGGATATGTGGACCTCTGTGAAGATTTCGTTGGAAACGGGTTCATCTTCACAGAAAAACTAAACAGGAGCATTCTCAGAAACTACTTTGTGATGTTTGTGTTCCACTTCAAGAATTGAACTTTCCTCTTGACAGAGCAGCTCTGAAACCCTCTTTTTCTAGAATCTGCAAGTGGACATTTGGAGGGCTTTGAGGCCTGTGGTGGAAAAGGAAAATCTTCACATAAAAACTAGATGGAAGCATTCTCAGAAACTACTTTGTGATGATTGCATTCGACTCACAGAGTTGAACATTCCTATAGATAGAGCAGGTTGTAAACAATCTTTTTGTAGAATCTGCGATTGGAGATTTGGACTGCTTTGAGGCCTACTGTAGTAAAGGAAATAACTTCATCTAAAAACCAAACGGAAGCATTCACAGACAATTCTTAGTGATCATTGCATTGAACTAACAGAGCTGAACATTCCGTTAGATGGCGCAGTTTCCAAACACACTTTCTGTAGAATCTGCAAGTGGATATTTGGACCTCTCTGAGGATTTCGTTGGAAACGGGATAAACTTCCCAGAACTACACGGAAGCATTGTGAGAAACTTCTTTGTGATGTTTGCATTCAACTCACAGAGTTGAACCTTGCTTTCATAGTTCAGCTTTCAAACACTCTTTTTGTAGAATCTGCAAGTGGATATTTGGACCACTTTGTGGCCTTCCTTCGAAACGGGTATATCTTCACATCAAACCTAGACAGAAGCATTCTCAGAATGTTTCCTGTGATGACTGCATTCAACTCACAGAGGTGAACAATCCTGTTGATGGAGCAGTTTTGAATCTCTCTTCCTTTGGATTCTGCAAGTGGATGTGTGGACCTCTGTGAAGATTTCGTTGGAAACGGGTTCATTTTCACAGAAAAACTAAACAGAAACATTCTCAGAAACTGCTTTGTGATGTTTGTGTTCCACTTCAAGAATTGAACTTTCCTCTTGACAGAGCAGCTCTGAAACCCTCTTTTTCTAGAATCTGCAAGTGGACATTTGGAGGGCTTTGAGGCCTGTGGTGGAAAAGGAAAATCTTCACATAAAAACTAGATGGAAGCATTCTCAGAAACTACTTTGTGATGATTGCATTCGACTCACAGAGTTGAACATTCCTATAGATAGAGCAGGTTGTAAACAATCTTTTTGTAGAATCTGCGATTGGAGATTTGGACTGCTTTGAGGCCTACTGTAGTAAAGGAAATAACTTCATCTAAAAACCAAACGGAAGCATTCACAGACAATTCTTAGTGATCATTGCATTGAACTAACAGAGCTGAACATTGCTTTAGACGGCGCAGTTTCCAAACACACTTTCTGTAGAATCTGCAAGTGGATATTTGGACTTCTCTGAGGATTTCGTTGGAAACGGGATAAACTTCCCAGAACTACACGGAAGCATTCTGAGAAACTTCTTTGTGATGTTTGCATTCAACTCACAGAGTTGAACCTTGCTTTCATAGTTCAGCTTTCAAACACTCTTTTTGTAGAATCTGCAAGTGGATATTTGGACCACTTTGAGGCCTTCCTTCGAAACGGGTATATCTTCACATCAAACCTAGACAGAAGCATTCTCAGAATGTTTCCTGTGATGACTGCATTCAACTCACAGAGGTGAACAATCCTGCTGATGGAGCAGTTTTGAAACTCTCTTTCTTTGGATTCTGCAAGTGGATATGTGGACCTCTGTGAAGATTTCGTTGGAAACGGGTTCATCTTCACAGAAAAACTAAACAGAAGCATTCTCAGAAACTGCTTTGTGATGTTTGTGTTCCACTTCAGGAATTGTACTTTCCTCTTGACAGAGCAGCTCTGAAACCCTCTTATTCTAGAATCTGCAAGTGGACATTTGGAGGGCTTTGAGGCCTGTGGTGGAAAAGGAAAATCTTCACATAAAAACTAGATGGAAGCATTCTCAGAAACTACTTTGTGATGATTGCATTCGACTCACAGAGTTGAACATTCCTATAGATAGAGCAGGTTGTAAACAATCTTTTTGTAGAATCTGCGATTGGAGATTTGGACTGCTTTGAGGCCTACTGTAGTAAACGAAATAACTTCATCTAAAAACCAAACGGAAGCATTCACAGACAATTCTTAGTGATCATTGGATTGAACTAACAGAGCTGAACATTCCCTTAGATGGCGCAGTTTCCAAACACACTTTCTGTAGAATCTGCAAGTGGATATTTGGACCTCTCTGAGGATTTCGTTGGAAACGGGATAAACTTCCCAGAACTACACGGAAGCATTCTGAGAAACTTCTTTGTGATGTTTGCATTCAACTCACAGAGTTGAACCTTGCTTTCATAGTTCAGCTTTCAAACACTCTTTTTGTAGAATCTGCAAGTGGATATTTGGACCACTTTGTGGCCTTCCTTCGAAACGGGTATATCTTCACATCAAACCTAGACAGAAGCATTCTCAGAATGTTTCCTGTGATGACTGCATTCAACTCACAGAGGTGAACAATCCTGCTGATGGAGCAGTTTTGAAACTCTCTTTCTTTGGATTCTGCAAGTGGATATGTGGACCTCTGTGAAGATTTCATTGGAAACGGGTTTATCTTCACAGAAAAACTAAACAGAAGCATTCTCAGAAACTGCTTTGTGATGTTTGTGTTCCACTTCAGGAATTGAACTTTCCTCTTGACAGAGCAGCTCTGAAACCCTCGTTTTCTAGAATCTGCAAGTGGACATTTGGAGGGCTTTGAGGCCTGTGGTGGAAAATGAAAATCTTCACATAAAAACTAGATGGAAGCATTCTCAGAAACTACTTTGTGATGATTGCATTCGACTCACAGAGTTGAACATTCCTATAGATAGAGCAGGTTGTAAACAATCTTCTTGTAGAATCTGCGATTGGAGATTTGGACTGCTTTGAGGCCTACTGTAGTAAAGGAAATAACTTCATCTAAAAACCAAACGGAAGCATTCACAGACAATCCTTAGTGATCATTGGATTGAACTAACCGAGCTGAACATTCCTTTAGATGGCGCAGTTTCCAAACACACTTTCTGTAGAATCTGCAAGTGGATATTTGGACCTCTCTGAGGATTTCGTTGGAAACGGGATAAACTTCCCAGAACTACACGGAAGCATTGTGAGAAACTTCTTTGTGATGTTTGCATTCAACACACAGAGTTGAACCTTGCTTTCATAGTTCAGCTTTCAAACACTCTTTTTATAGAATCTGCAAGTGGATATTTGGACCACTTTGTGGCCTTCCTTCGAAACGGGTATATCTTCACATCAAACCTAGACAGAAGCATTCTCAGAATGTTTCCTGTGATGACTACATTCAACTCACAGAGGTGAACAATCCTGCTGATGGAGCAGTTTTGAAACTCTCTTTCTTTGGATTCTGCAGCTGGATATGTGGACCTCTGTGAAGATATCGTTGGAAACGGGTTCATCTTCACAGAAAAACTAAACAGGAGCATTCTCAGAAACTGCTTTGTGATGTTTGTGTTCCACTTCAAGAATTGAACTTTCCTCTTGACAGAGCAGCTCTGAAACCCTCTTTTTCTAGAATCTGCAAGTGGACATTTGGAGGGCTTTGAGGCCTGTGGTGGAAAAGGAAAATCTTCACATAAAAACTAGATGGAAGCATTCTCAGAAACTATTTTGTGATTATTGCATTCGACTCACAGAGTTGAACATTCCTATAGATAGAGCAGGTTGTAAACAATCTTTTTGTAGAATCTGCGATTGGAGATTTGGACTGCTTTGAGGCCTACTGTAGTAAAGGAAATAACTTCATCTAAAAACCAAACGGAAGCATTCACAGACAATTCTTAGTGATCATTGGATTGAACTAACAGAGCTGAACATTCCTTTAGATGGAGTAGTTTCCAAACCCACTTTCTGTAGAATCTGCAAGTGGATATTTGGACTTCTCTGAGGATTTCGTTGGAAACGGGATAAACTTCCCAGAACTACACGGAAGCATTCTGAGAAACTTCTTTGTGATGTTTGCATTCAACTCACAGAGTTGAACCTTGCTTTCATAGTTCAGCTTTCAAACACTCTTTTTGTAGAATCTGCAAGTGGATATTTGGACCACTTTCTGGCCTTCCTTCGAAACGGGTATATCTTCACATCAAACCTAGACAGAAGCATTCTCAGAATGTTTCCTGTGATGACTGCATTCAACTCACAGAGGTGAACAATCCTGCTGATGGAGTAGTTTTGAAACTCTCTTTCTTTGGATTCTGCAAGTGGATATGTGGACCTCTGTGAAGATTTCGTTGGAAACGGGTTCATCTTCACAGAAAAACTAAAAAGAAGCATTCTCAGAAACTGCTTTGTGATGTTTGTGTTCCACTCCAAGAATTGAACTTTCCTCTTGACAGAGCAGCTCTGAAACCCTCTTTTTCTAGAATCTGCAAGTGGACATTTGGAGGGATTTGAGGCCTGTGGTGGAAAAGAAAAATCTTCACATAAAAACTAGATGGAAGCATTCTCAGAAACTACTTTGTGATGATTGCATTCGACTCACAGAGTTGAACATTCCTATAGATAGAGCAGGTTGTAAACAACCTTTTGGTAGAATCTGCGATTGGAGATTTGGACTGCTTTGAGGCCTACTGTAGTAAAGGAAATAACTTCATCTAAAAACCAAACGGAAGCATTCACAGACAATTCTTAGTGATCATTGGATTGAACTAACAGAGCTGAACATTCCTTTAGATCGCGCAGTTTCCAAACACACTTTCTGTAGAATCTGCAAGTGGATATTTGGACTTCTCTGAGGATTTCGTTGGAAACGGGATAAACTTCCCAGAACTACACGGAAGCATTCTGAGAAACTTCTTTGTGATGTTTGCATTCAACTCACAGAGTTGAACCTTGCTTTCATAGTTCAGCTTTCAAACACTCTTTTTGTGGAATCTGCAAGTGGATATTTGGACCACTTTGTGGCCTTCCTTCGAAACGGGTATATCTTCACATCAAACCTAGACAGAAGCATTCTCAGAATGTTTCCTGTGATGACTGCATTCAACTCACAGAGGTGAACAATCCTGCTGATGGAGCAGTTTTGAAACTCTCTTTCTTTGGATTCTGCAAGTGGATATGTGGACCTCTGTGAAGATTTCGTTGGAAACGGGTTCATCTTCACAGAAAAACTAAACAGGAGCATTCTCAGAAACTGCTTTGTGATGTTTGTGTTCCACTTCAAGAATTGAACTTTCCTCTTGACAGAGCAGCTCTGAAACCCTCTTTTTCTAGAATCTGCAAGTGGACATTTGGAGGGCTTTGAGGCCTGTGGTGGAAAAGGAAAATCTTCACATAAAAACTAGATGGAAGCATTCTCAGAAACTACTTTGTGATGATTGCATTCGACTCACAGAGTTGAACATTCCTATAGATAGAGCAGGTTGTAAACAATCTTTTTGTAGAATCTGCGATTGGAAATTTGGACTGCTTTGAGGCCTACTGTAGTAAAGGAAATAACTTCATCTAAAAACCAAACGGAAGCATTCACAGACAATTCTTAGTGATCATTGCATTGAACTAACAGAGCTGAACATTCCTTTAGATGGCGCAGTTTCCAAACACACTTTCTGTAGAATCTGCAAGTGGATATTTGGACCTCTCTGAGGATTTCGTTGGAAACGGGATAAACTTCCCAGAACTACACGGAAGCATTGTGAGAAATTTCTTTGTGATGTTTGCATTCAACTCACAGAGTTGAACCTTGCTTTCATAGTTCAGCTTTCAAACACTCTTTTTGTAGAATCTGCAAGTGGATATTTGGACCACTTTGTGGCCTTCCTTCGAAACGGGTATATCTTCACATCAAACCTAGACAGAAGCATTCTCAGAATGTTTCCTGTGATGACTGCATTCAACTCACAGAGGTGAACAATCCTGCTGATGGAGCAGTTTTGAAACTCTCTTTCTTTGGATTCTGCAAGTGGATATGTGGACCTCTGTGAAGATTTCGTTGGAAACGGGTTCATCTTCACAGAAAAACTAAACAGGAGCATTCTCAGAAACTGCTTTGTGATGTTTGTGTTCCACTTCAAGAATTGAACTTTCCTCTTGACAGAGCAGCTCTGAAACCCTCTTTTTCTAGAATCTGCAAGTGGACATTTGGAGGGCTTTGAGGCCTGTGGTGGAAAAGGAAAATCTTCACATAAAAACTAGATGGAAGCATTCTCAGAAACTACTTTGTGATGATTGCATTCGACTCACAGAGTTGAACATTCCTATACATAGAGCAGGTTGTAAACAATCTTTTTGTAGAATCTGCGATTGGAGATTTGGACTGCTTTGAGGCCTACTGTAGTAAAGGAAATAACTTCATCTAAAAACCAAACGGAAGCATTCACAGACAATTCTTAGTGATCATTGCATTGAACTAACAGAGCTGAACATTCCTTTAGATGGAGCAGTTTCCAAACACACTTTCTGTAGAATCTGCAAGTGGATATTTGGACTTCTCTGAGGATTTCGTTGGAAACGGGATAAACTTCCCAGAACTACACGGAAGCATTCTGAGAAACTTCTTTGTGATGTTTGCATTCAACTCACAGAGTTGAACCTTGCTTTCATAGTTCAGCTTTCAAACACTCTTTTTGTAGAATCTGCAAGTGGATATTTGGACCACTTTGTGGCCTTCCTTCGAAACGGGTATATCTTCACATCAAACCTAGACAGAAGCATTCTCAGAATGTTTCCTGTGATGACTGCATTCAACTCACAGAGGTGAACAATCCTGCTGATGGAGCAGTTTTGAAACTCTCTTTCTTTGGATTCTGCAAGTTGATATGTGGACCTCTGTGAAGATTTCGTTGGAAACGGGTTCATCTTCACAGAAAAACTAAACAGAAGCATTCTCAGAAACTGCTTTGTGATGTTTGTGTTCCACTTCAGGAATTGAACTTTCCTCTTGACAGAGCAGCTCTGAAACCCTCTTATTCTAGAATCTGCAAGTGGACATTTGGAGGGCTTTGAGGCCTGTGGTGGAAAAGGAAAATCTTCACATAAAAACTAGATGGAAGCATTCTCAGAAACTACTTTGTGATGATTGCATTCGACTCACAGAGTTGAACATTCCTATAGATAGAGCAGGTTGTAAACAATCTTTTTGTAGAATCTGCGATTGGAGATTTGGACTGCTTTGAGGCCTACTGTAGTAAAGGAAATAACTTCATCTAAAAACCAAACGGAAACATTCACAGACAATTCTTAGTGATCATTGGATTGAACTAACAGAGCTGAACATTCCTTTAGATGGAGCAGTTTCCAAACACACTTTCTGTAGAATCTGCAAGTGGATATTTGGACTTCTCTGAGGATTTCGTTGGAAACGGGATAAACTTCCCAGAACTACACGGAAGCATTGTGAGAAACTTCTTTGTGATGTTTGCATTCAAATCACAGAGTTGAACCTTGCTTTCATAGTTCAGCTTTCAAACACTCTTTTTGTAGAATCTGCAAGTGGATATTTGGACCACTTTGTGGCCTTCCTTCGAAACGGGTATATCTTCACATCAAACCTAGACAGAAGCATTCTCAGAATGTTTCCTGTGATGACTGCATTCAACTCACAGAGGTGAACAATCCTGTTGATGGAGCAGTTTTGAAACTCTCTTTCTTTGGATTCTGCAAGTTGATATGTGGACCTCTGTGAAGATTTCGTTGGAAACGGGTTCATCTTCACAGAAAAACTAAACAGAAGCATTCTCAGAAACTGCTTTGTGATGTTTGTGTTCCACTTCAAGAATTGAACTTTCCTCTTGACAGAGCAGCTCTGAAACCCTCTTTTTCTAGAATCTGCAAGTGGACATTTGGAGGGCTTTGAGGCCTGTGGTGGAAAAGGAAAATCTTCACATAAAAACTAGATGGAAGCATTCTCAGAAACTACTTTGTGATGATTGCATTCGACTCACAGAGTTGAACATTCCTATAGATAGAGCAGGTTGTAAACAATCTTTTTGTAGAATCTGCGATTGGAAATTTGGACTGCTTTGAGGCCTACTGTAGTAAAGGAAATAACTTCATCTAAAAACCAAACGGAGGCATTCACAGACAATTCTTAGTGATCATTGGATTGAACTAACAGAGCTGAACATTCCCTTAGATGGCGCAGTTTCCAAACACACTTTCTGTAGAATCTGCAAGTGGATATTTGGACCTCTCTGAGGATTTCGTTGGAAACGGGATAAACTTCCCAGAACTACACGGAAGTATTCTGAGAAACTTCTTTGTGATGTTTGCATTCAACTCACAGAGTTGAACCTTGCTTTCATAGTTCAGCTTTCAAACACTCTTTTTGTAGAATCTGCAAGTGGATATTTGGACCACTTTGTGGCCTTCCTTCGAAACGGGTATATCTTCACATCAAACCTAGACAGAAGCATTCTCAGAATGTTTCCTTTGATGACTGCATTCAACTCACAGAGGTGAACAATCCTGTTGATGGAGCAGTTTTGAAACTCTCTTTCTTTGGATTCTGCAAGTGGATATGTGGACCTCTGTGAAGATTTCGTTGGAAACGGGTTCATCTTCACAGGAAAACTATACAGGAGCATTCTCAGAAACTGCTTTGTGATGTTTGTGTTCCACTTCAGGAATTGAACTTTCCTCTTGACAGAGCAGCTCTGAAACCCTCTTATTCTAGAATCTGCAAGTGGACATTTGGAGGGCTTTGAGGCCTGTGGTGGAAAAGGAAAATCTTCACATAAAAACTAGATGGAAGCATTCTCAGAAACTACTTTGTGATGATTGCATTCGACTCACAGAGTTGAACATTCCTATAGATAGAGCAGGTTGTAAACAATCTTTTTGTAGAATCTGCGATTGGAGATTTGGACTGCTTTGAGGCCTACTGTAGTAAAGGAAATAACTTCATCTAAAAACCAAACGGAAGCATTCACAGACAATTCTTAGTGATCATTGCATTGAACTAACAGAGCTGAACATTCCTTTAGATGGCGCAGTTTCCAAACACACTTTCTGTAGAATCTGCAAGTGGATATTTGGACTTCTCTGAGGATTTCGTTGGAAACGGGATAAACTTCCCAGAACTACACGGAAGCATTCTGAGAAACTTCTTTGTGATGTTTGCATTCAACTCACAGAGTTGAACCTTGCTTTCATAGTTCAGCTTTCAAACACTCTTTTTGTAGAATCTGCAAGTGGATATTTGGACCACTTTGTGGCCTTCCTTCGAAACGGGTATATCTTCACATCAAACCTAGACAGAAGCATTCTCAGAATGTTTCCTGTGATGACTGCATTCAACTCACAGAGGTGAACAATCCTGCTGATGGAGCAGTTTTGAAACTCTCTTTCTTTGGATTCTGCAAGTGGATATGTGGACCTCTGTGAAGATTTCGTTGGAAACGGGTTCATCTTCACAGAAAAACTAAACAGAAGCATTCTCAGAAACTGCTTTGTGATGTTTGTGTTCCACTTCAGGAATTGAACTTTCCTCTTGACAGAGCAGCTCTGAAACCCTCTTATTCTAGAATCTGCAAGTGGACATTTGGAGGGCTTTGAGGCCTGTGGTGGAAAAGGAAAATCTTCACATAAAAACTAGATGGAAGCATTCTCAGAAACTACTTTGTGATGATTGCATTCGACTCACAGAGTTGAACATTCCTATAGATAGAGCAGGTTGTAAACAATCTTTTTGTAGAATCTGCGATTGGAGATTTGGACTGCTTTGAGGCCTACTGTAGTAAAGGAAATAACTTCATCTAAAAACCAAACGGAAGCATTCACAGACAATTCTTAGTGATCATTGGATTGAACTAACAGAGCTGAACATTCCTTTAGATGGAGCAGTTTCCAAACACACTTTCTGTAGAATCTGCAAGTGGATATTTGGACCTCTCTGAGGATTTCGTTGGAAACGGGATAAACTTCCCAGAACTACACGGAAGCATTCTGAGAAACTTCTTTGTGATGTTTGCATTCAACTCACAGAGTTGAACCTTGCTTTCATAGTTCAGCTTTCAAACCCTCTTTTTGTAGAATCTGCAAGTGGATATTTGGACCACTTTGTGGCCTTCCTTCGAAACGGGTATATCTTCACATCAAACCTAGACAGAAGCATTCTCAGAATGTTTCCTGTGATGACTGCATTCAACTCACAGAGGTGAACAATCCTGCTGATGGAGCAGTTTTGAAACTCTCCTTCTTTGGATTCTGCAAGTGGATATGTGGACCTCTGTGAAGATTTCGTTGGAAACGGGTTCATCTTCACAGAAAAACTAAACACAGAGCATTCTCAGAAACTGCTTTGTGATGTTTGTGTTCCACTTCAAGAATTGAACTTTCCTCTTGACAGAGCAGCTCTGAAACCCTCTTTTTCTAGAATCTGCAAGTGGACATTTGGAGGGCTTTGAGGCCTGTGGTGGAAAAGGAAAATCTTCACATAAAAACTAGATGGAGCATTCTCAGAAACTACTTTGTGATGATTGCATTCGACTCACAGATTTGAACATTCCTATAGATAGAGCAGGTTGTAAACAATCTTTTTGTAGAATCTGCGATTGGAGATTTGGACTGCTTTGAGGCATACTGTAGTAAAGGAAATAACTTCATCTAAAAACCAAACGGAAGCATTCACAGACAATTCTTAGTGATCATTGGATTGAACTAACAGAGCTGAACATTCCTTTAGATGGAGCAGTTTGCAAACACACTTTCTGTAGAATCTGCAAGTGGATATTTGGACTTCTCTGAGGATTTCGTTGGAAACGGGATAAACTTCCCAGAACTACACGGAAGCATTCTGAGAAACTTCTTTGTGATGTTTGCATTCAACTCACAGAGTTGAACCTTGCTTTCATAGTTCAGCTTTCAAACACTCTTTTTGTAGAATCTGCAAGTGGATATTTGGACCACTTTGTGGCCTTCCTTCGAAACGGGTATATCTTCACATCAAACCTAGACAGAAGCATTCTCAGAATGTTTCCTGTGATGACTGCATTCAACTCACAGAGGTGAACAATCCTGCTGATGGAGCAGTTTTGAAACTCTCTTTCTTTGGATTCTGCAAGTGCATATGTGAACCTCTGTGAAGATTTCGTTGGAAACGGGTTCATCTTCACAGAAAAACTAAACAGGAGCATTCTCAGAAACTGCTTTGTGATGTTTGTGTTCGACTTCAGGAATTGAACTTTCCTCTTGACAGAGCAGCTCTGAAACCCTCTTATTCTAGAATCTGCAAGTGGACATTTGGAGGGCTTTGAGGCCTGTGGTGGAAAAGGAAAATCTTCGCATAAAAACTAGATGGAAGCATTCTCAGAAACTACTTTGTGATGATCGCATTCGACTCACAGAGTTGAACATTCCTATAGATAGAGCAGGTTGTAAACAATCTTTTTGTAGAATCTGCGATTGGAGATTTTGACTGATTTGAGGCCTACTGTAGTAAGGTAAATAACTTTATCTAAAATCCAAACGGAAGCATTCACAGACAATTCTTAGTGATCATTGGATTGAACTAACAGAGCTGAACATTCCTTTAGATGGAGCAGTTTCCAAACATACTTTCTGTAGAATCTGCAAGTGGATATTTGGACCTCTCTGAGGATTTCGTTGGAAACGGGATAAACTTCCCAGAACTACACGGAAGTATTCTGAGAAACTTCTTTGTGATGTTTGCATTCAACTCACAGAGTTGAACCTTGCTTTCATAGTTCAGCTTTCAAACACTCTTTTTGTAGAATCTGCAAGTGGATATTTGGACCACTTTGTGGCCTTCCTTCGAAACGGGTATATCTTCACATCAAACCTAGACAGAAGCATTCTCAGAATGTTTCCTGTGATGACTGCATTCAACTCACAGAGGTGAACAATCCTGCTGATGGAGCAGTTTTGAAACTCTCTTTCTTTGGATTCTGCAAGTGGATATGTGGACCTCTGTGAAGATTTCGTTGGAAACGGGTTCATCTTCACAGAAAAACTAAACAGGAGCATTCTCAGAAACTGCTTTGTGATGTTTGTGTTCCACTTCAGGAATTGAACTTTCCTCTTGGCAGAGCAGCTCTGAAACCCTCTTTTTCTAGAATCTGCAAGTGGACATTTGGAGGGCTTTGAGGCCTGTGGTGGAAAAGGAAAATCTTCACATAAAAACTAGATGGAAGCATTCTCAGAAACTACTTTGTGATGATTGCATTCGACTCACAGAGTTGAACATTCCTATAGATAGAGCAGGTTGTAAACAATCTTTTTGTAGAATCTGCGATTGGAGATTTGGACTGCTTTGAGGCCTACTGTAGTAAAGGAAATAACTTCATCTAAAAACCAAACGGAAGCATTCACAGATAATTCTTAGTGATCATTGCATTGAACTAACAGAGCTGAACATTCCTTTAGATGGAGCAGTTTCCAAACACACTTTCTGTAGAATCTGCAAGTGGATATTTGGACTTCTCTGAGGATTTCGTTGGAAACGGGATAAACTTCCCAGAACTACACGGAAGCATTCTGAGAAACTTCTCTGTGATGTTTGCATTCAACTCACAGAGTTGAACCTTGCTTTCATAGTTCAGCTTTCAAACACTCTTTTTGTAGAATCTGCAAGTGGATATTTGGACCACTTTGTGGCCTTCCTTCGAAACGGGTATATCTTCACATCAAACGTAGACAGAAGCATTCTCAGAATGTTTCCTGTGATGACTGCATTCAACTCACAGAGGTGAACAATCCTGCTGATGGAGCAGTTTTGAAACTCTCTTTCTTTGGATTCTGCAAGTGGATATGTGGCCCTCTGTGAAGATTTCGTTGGAAACGGGTTCATCTTCACAGAAAAACTAAACAGAAACATTCTCAGAAACTGCTTTGTGATGTTTGTGTTCCACTTCAGGAATTGAACTTTCCTCTTGACAGAGCAGCTCTGAAACCCTCTTATTCTAAAATCTGCAAGTGGACATTTGAAGGGCTTTGAGGCCTGTGGTGGAAAAGGAAAATCTTCACATAAAAACTAGATGGAAGCATTCTCAGAAACTACTTTGTGATGATTGCATTCGACTCACAGAGTTGAACATTCCTATAGATAGAGCAGGTTGTAAACAATCTTTTTGTAGAATCTGCGATTGGAGATTTGGACTGCTTTGAGGCCTACTGTAGTAAAGGAAATAACTTCATCTAAAAACCAAACGGAGGTATTCAAAGACAATTCTTAGTGATCATTGGATTGAACTAACAGAGCTGAACATTAGTTTAGATGGCGCAGTTTCCAAACACACTTTCTGTAGAATCTGCAAGTGGATATTTGGACTTCTCTGAGGATTTCGTTGGAAACGGGATAAACTTCCCAGAACTACACGGAAGCATTCTGAGAAACTTCTTTGTGATGTTTGCATTCAACTCACAGAGTTGAACCTTGCTTTCATAGTTCAGCTTTCAAACACTCTTTTTGTAGAATCTGCAAGTGGATATTTGGACCACTTTCTGGCCTTCCTTCGAAACGGGTATATCTTCACATCAAACCTAGACAGAAGCATTCTCAGAATGTTTCCTGTGATGACTGCATTCAACTCACAGAGGTGAACAATCCTGTTGATGGAGCAGTTTTGAAACTCTCTTTCTTTGGATTCTGCAAGTTGATATGTGGACCTCTGTGAAGATTTCGTTGGAAACGGGTTCATCTTCACAGAAAAACTAAACAGAAGCATTCTCAGAAACTGCTTTGTGATGTTTGTGTTCCACTTCAAGAATTGAACTTTCCTCTTGATAGAGCAGCTCTGAAACCCTCTTTTTCTAGAATCTGCAAGTGGACATTTGGAGGGCTTTGAGGCCTGTGGTGGAAAAGGAAAATCTTCACATAAAAACTAGATGGAAGCATTCTCAGAAACTACTTTGTGATGATTGCATTCGACTCACAGAGTTGAACATTCCTATAGATAGAGCAGGTTGTAAACAATCTTTTTGTAGAATCTGCGATTGGAGATTTGGACTGCTTTGAGGCCTACTGTAGTAAAGGAAATAACTTCATCTAAAAACCAAACGGAAGCATTCACAGACAATTCTTAGTGATAATTGCATTGAACTAACAGAGCTGAACATTCCTTTAGATGGAGCAGTTTCCAAACACACTTTCTGTAGAATCTGCAAGTGGATATTTGGACCTCTGTGAGGATTTCGTTGGAAACGGGATAAACTTCCCAGAACTACACGGAAGCATTGTGAGAAACTTCTTTGTGATGTTTGCATTCAACTCACAGAGTTGAACCTTGCTTTCATAGTTCAGCTTTCAAACACTCTTTTTGTAGAATCTGCAAGTGGATATTTGGACCACTTTGTGGCCTTCCTTCGAAACGGGTATATCTTCACATCAAACCTAGACAGAAGCATTCTCAGAATGTTTCCTGTGATGACTGCATTCAACTCACAGAGGTGAACAATCCTGCTGATGGAGCAGTTTTGAAACTCTCTTTCTTTGGATTCTACAAGTGGATATGTGGACCTCTGTGAAGATTTCGTTGGAAACGGGTTCATCTTCACAGAAAAACTAAACAGGAGCATTCTCAGAAACTGCTTTGTGATGTTTGTGTTCCACTTCAAGCAATTGAACTTTCCTCTTGACAGAGCAGCTCTGAAACCCTCTTTTTCTAGAATCTGCAAGTGGACATTTGGAGGGCTTTGAGGCCTGTGGTGGAAAAGGAAAATCTTCCCATAAAAACTAGATGGAAGCATTCTCAGAAACTACTTTGTGATGATTGCATTCGACTCACAGAGTTGAACATTCCTATAGATAGAGCAGGTTGTAAACAATCTTTTTGTAGAATCTGCGATTGGAGATTTGGACTGCTTTGAGGCCTACTGTAGTAAAGGAAATAACTTCATCTAAAAACCAAACGGAAGCATTCACAGACAATTCTTAGTGATCATTGCATTGAACTAACAGAGCTGAACATTCCTTTAGATGGAGCATTTTCCAAACACACTTTCTGTAGAATCTGCAAGTGGATATTTGGACTTCTCTGAGGATTTCGTTGGAAACGGGATATACTTCCCAGAACTACACGGAAGCATTGTGAGAAACTTCTTTGTGATGTTTGCATTCAACTCACAGAGTTGAACCTTGCTTTCATAGTTCAGCTTTCAAACACTCTTTTTGTAGAATCTGCAAGTGGATATTTGGACCACTTTGTGGCCTTCCTTCGAAACGGGTATATCTTCACATCAAACCTAGACAGAAGCATTCTCAGAATGTTTCCTGTGATGACTGCATTCAACTCACAGAGGTGAACAATCCTGTTGATGGAGCAGTTTTGAAACTCTCTTTCTTTGGATTCTGCAAGTTGATATGTGGACCTCTGTGAAGATTTCGTTGGAAACGGTTTCATGTTCACAGAAAAACTAAACAGAAACATTCTCAGAAACTGCTTTGTGATGTTTGTGTTCCACTTCAAGAATTGAACTTTCCTCTTGACAGAGCAGCTCTGAAACCCTCTTTTTCTAGAATCTGCAAGTGGACATTTGGAGGGCTTTGAGGCCTGTGGTGGAAAAGGAAAATCTTCACATAAAAACTAGATGGAAGCATTCTCAGAAACTACTTTGTGATGATTGCATTCGACTCACAGAGTTGAACATTCCTATACATAGAGCAGGTTGTAAACAATCTTTTTGTAGAATCTGCGATTGGAGATTTGGACTGCTTTGAGGCCTACTGTAGTAAAGGAAATAACTTCATCTAAAAACCAAACGGAAGCATTCACAGACAATTCTTAGTGATCATTGGATTGAACTAACAGAGCTGAACATTCCTTTAGATGGAGCATTTTCCAAACACACTTTCTGTAGAATCTGCAAGTGGATATTTGGACTTCTCTGAGGATTTCGTTGGAAACGGGATAAACTTCCCAGAACTACACGGAAGCATTCTGAGAAACTTCTTTGTGATGTTTGCATTCAACTCACAGAGTTGAACCTTGCTTTCATAGTTCAGCTTTCAAACACTCTTTTTGTAGAATCTGCAAGTGGATATTTGGACCACTTTGTGGCCTTCCTTCGAAACGGGTATATCTTCACATCAAACCTAGACAGAAGCATTCTCAGAATGTTTCCTGTAATGACTGCATTCAACTCACAGAGGTGAACAATCCTGTTGATGGGGCACTTTTGAAACTCTCTTTCTTTGGATTCTGCAAGTTGATATGTGGACCTCTGTGAAGATTTCGTTGGAAACGGGTTCATCTTCACAGAAAAACTAAACAGAAGCATTCTCAGAAACTACTTTGTGATGTTTGTGTTCCACTTCAACAATTCAACTTTCCTCTTGACAGAGCAGCTCTGAAACCCTCTTTTTCTAGAATCTGCAAGTGGACATTTGGAGGGCTTTGACGCCTGTGGTGGAAAAGGAAAATCTTCACATAAAAACTAGATGGAAGCATTCTCAGAAACTACTTTGTGATGATTGCATTCGACTCACAGAGTTGAACATTCCTATAGATAGAGCAGGTTGTAAACAATCTTTTTGTAGAATCTGCGATTGGAGATTTGGACTGCTTTGAGGCCTACTGTAGTAAAGGAAATAACTTCATCTAAAAACCAAACGGAAGCATTCACAGACAATTCTTAGTGATCATTGCATTGAACTAACAGAGCTGAACATTCCTTCAGATGGCGCAGTTTCCAAACACACTTTCTGTAGAATCTGCAAGTGGATATTTGGACCTCTCTGAGGATTTCGTTGGAAACGGGATAAACTTCCCAGAACTACACGGAAGCATTCTGAGAAACTTCTTTGTGATGTTTGCATTCAACTCACAGAGTTGAACCTTGCTTTCATAGTTCAGCTTTCAAACACTCTTTTTGTAGAATCTGCAAGTGGATATTTGGACCACTTTGTGGCCTTCCTTCGAAACGGGTATATCTTCACATCAAACCTAGACAGAAGCATTCTCAGAATGTTTCCTGTGATGACTGCATTCAACTCACAGAGGTGAACAATCCTGCTGATGGAGCAGTTTTGAAACTCTCTTTCTTTGGATTCTGCAAGTGGATATGTGGACCTCTGTGAAGATTTCGTTGGAAACGGGTTCATCTTCACAGAAAAATTAACAGGAGCATTCTCAGAAACTGCTTTGTTATGTTTGTGTTCCACTTCAGGAATTGAACTTTCCTCTTGACAGAGCAGCTCTGAAACCCTCTTATTCTAGAATCTGCAAGTGGACATTTGAAGGGCTTTGAGGCCTGTGGTGGAAAAGGAAAATCTTCACATAAAAACTAGACGAAAGCATTCTCAGAAACTACTTTGTGATGATTGCATTCGACTCACAGAGTTGAACATTCCTATAGATAGAGCAGGTTGTAAACAATCTTTTTGTAGAATCTGCGATTGGAGATTTGGACTGCTTTGAGGCCTACTGTAGTAAAGGAAATAACTTCATCTAAAAACTAAACGGAAGCATTCACAGACAATTCTTAGTGATCATTGGATTGAACTAACAGAGCTGAACATTCCTTTAGATGGAGCAGTTTCCAAACCCACTTCTGTAGAATCTGCAAGTGGATATTTGGACTTCTCTGAGGATTTCGTTGGAAACGGGATAAACTTCCCAGAACTACACGGAAGCATTCTGAGAAACTTCTTTGTGATGTTTGCATTCAACTCACAGAGTTGAACCTTGCTTTCATAGTTCAGCTTTCAAACACTCTTTTTGTAGAATCTGCAAGTGGATATTTGGACCACTTTGTGGCCTTCCTTCGAAACGGGTATATCTTCACATCAAACCTAGACAGAAGCATTTTCAGAATGTTTCCTGTGATGACTGCATTCAACTCACAGAGGTGAACAATCCTGTTGATGGAGCAGTTTTGAAACTCTCTTTCTTTGGATTCTGCAAGTGGATATGTGGACCTCTGTGAAGATTTCGTTGGAAACGGGTTCATCTTCACAGAAAAACTAAACAGGAGCATTCTCAGAAACTACTTTGTGATGTTTGTGTTCCACTTCAAGAATTGAACTTTCCTCTTGACAGAGCAGCTCTGAAACCCTCTTTTTCTAGAATCTGCAAGTGGACATTTGGAGGGCTTTGAGGCCTGTGGTGGAAAAGGAAAATCTTCACATAAAAACTAGATGGAAGCATTCTCAGAAACTACTTTGTGATGATTGCATTCGACTCACAGAGTTGAACATTCCTATAGATAGAGCAGGTTGTAAACAATCTTTTTGTAGAATCTGCGATTGGAGATTTCGACTGCTTTGAGGCCTACTGTAGTAAAGGAAATAACTTCATCTAAAAACCAAACGGAAGCATTCACAGACAATTCTTAGTGATCATTGGATTGAACTAACAGAGCTGAACATTCCTTTAGATGGCGCAGTTTCCATACACACTTTCTGTAGAATCTGCAAGTGGATATTTGGACCTCTCTGAGGATTTCGTTGGAAACGGGATAAACTTCCCAGAACTACACGGAAGCATTGTGAGAAACTTCTTTGTGATGTTTGCATTCAACTCACAGAGTTGAACCTTGTTTTCATAGTTCAGCTTTCAAGCACTCTTTTTGTAGAATCTGCAAGTGGATATTTGGACCACTTTGTGGCCTTCCTTCGAAACGGGTATATCTTCACATCAAACCTAGACAGAAGCATTCTCAGAATGTTTCCTGTGATGACTGCATTCAACTCACAGAGGTGAACAATCCTGTTGATGGAGCACTTTTGAAACTCTCTTTCTTTGGATTCTGCAAGTTGATATGTGGACCTCTGTGAAGATTTCGTTGGAAACGGGTTCATCTTCACAGAAAAACTAAACAGAAGCATTCTCAGAAACTGCTTTGTGATGTTTGTGTTCCACTTCAAGAATTGAACTTTCCTCTTGACAGAGCAGCTCTGAAACCCTCTTGTTCTAGAATCTGCAAGTGGACATTTGGAGGGCTTTGAGGCCTGTGGTGGAAAAGGAAAATCTTCACATAAAAACTAGATGGAAGCATTCTCAGAAACTACTTTGTGATGATTGCATTCGACTCACAGAGTTGAACATTCCTATAGATAGAGCAGGTTGTAAACAATCTTTTTGTAGAATCTGCGATTGGAGATTTGGACTGCTTTGAGGCCTACTGTAGTAAAGGAAATAACTTCATCTAAAAACCAAACGGTAGCATTCACAGACAATTCTTAGTGATCATTGCATTGAACTAACAGAGCTGAACATTCCTTTAAATGGAGCAGTTTCCAAACCCACTTTCTGTAGAATCTGCAAGTGGATATTTGGACTTCTCTGAGGATTTCGTTGGAAACGGGATAAACTTCCCAGAACTACAGGGAGGCATTGTGAGAAACTTCTTTGTGATGTTTGCATTCAACTCACAGAGTTGAACCTTGCTTTCATAGTTCAGCTTTCAAACACTCTTTTTGTAGAATCTGCAAGTGGATATTTGGACCACTTTGTGGCCTTCCTTCGAAACGGGTATATCTTCACATCAAACCTAGACAGAAGCATTCTCAGAATGTTTCCTGTGATGACTGCATTCAACTCACAGAGGTGAACAATCCTGTTGATGGAGCAGTTTTGAAACTCTCTTTCTTTGGATTCTGCAAGTGCATATGTGGACCTCTGTGAAGATTTCGTTGGAAACGGGTTCATCTTCACAGAAAAACAAAACAGAAGCATTCTCAGAAACTGCTTTGTGATGTTTGTGTTCCACTTCAAGAATTGAACTTTCCTCTTGACAGAGCAGCTCTGAAACCCTCTTCTTCTAGAATCTGCAAGTGGACATTTGGAGGGCTTTGAGGCCTGTGGTGGAAATGGAAAATCTTCACATAAAAACTAGATGGAAGCATTCTCAGAAACTACTTTGTGATGATTGCATTCGACTCACAGAGTTGAACATTCCTATAGATAGAGAAGGTTGTAAACAATCTTTTTGTAGAATCTGCGATTGGAGATTTGGACTGCTTTGAGGCCTACTGTAGTAAAGGAAATAACTTCACCTCAAAACCAAACGGAAGCATTCACAGACAATTCTTAGTGATCATTGCATTGAACTAACAGCGCTGAACATTCCTTTATATGGCGCAGTTTCCAAACACACTTTCTGTAGAATCTGCAAGTGGATATTTGGACCTCTCTGAGGATATCTTTGGAAACGGGATAAACTTCCCAGAACTACACGGAAGCATTCTGAGTAACTTCTTTGGAAGTTTGCATTCAACTCACAGAGTTGAACCTTGCTTTCATAGTTCAGCTTTCAAACACTCTTTATGTAGAATCTGCAAGTGGATATTTGGACCACTTTGTGGCCTTCCTTCGAAACGGGTATATCTTCACATCAAACCTAGACAGAAGCATTCTCAGAATGTTTCCTGTGATGACTGCATTCAACTCACAGAGGTGAACAATCCTGCTGATGGAGCAGTTTTGAAACTCTCTTTCTTTGGATTCTGCAAGTGGATATGTGGACCTCTGTGAAGATTTCGTTGGAAACGGGTTCATCTTCACAGAAAAACTAAACAGGAGCATTCTCAGAAACTGCTTTGTGATGTTTGTGTTCGACTTCAGGAATTGAACTTTCCTCTTGACAGAGCAGCTCTGAAACCCTCTTATTCTAGAATCTGCAAGTGGACATTTGGAGGGCTTTGAGGCCTGTGGTGGAAAAGGAAAATCTTCACATAAAAACTAGATGGAAGCATTCTCAGAAACTACTTTGTGATGATTGCATTCGACTCACAGGTTTGAACATTCCTATAGATAGAGCAGGTTGTAAACAATCTTTTTGTAGAATCTGCGATTGGAGATTTGGACTGCTTTGAGTCCTACTGTAGTAAAGGAAATAACTTCATCTAAAAACCAAACGGAAGCATTCACAGACAATTCTTAGTGATCATTGGATTGAACTAACAGAGCTGAACATTCCTTTAGATGGAGCAGTTGCCAAACCCACTTTCTGTAGAATCTGCAAGTGGATATTTGGACTTCTCTGAGGATTTCGTTGGAAACGGGATAAACTTCCCAGAACTACACGGAAGCATTCTGAGAAACTTCTTTGTGATGTTTGCATTCAACTCACAGAGTTGAACCTTGCTTTCATGGTTCAGCTTTCAAACACTCTTTTTGTAGAATCTGCAAGTGGATATTTGGACCACTTTGTGGCCTTCCTTCGAAACGGGTATATCTTCACATCAAACCTTGACAGAAGCATTCTCAGAATGTTTCCTGTGATGACTGCATTCAACTCACAGAGGTGAACAATCCTGCTGATGGAGCAGTTTTGAAACTCTCTTTCTTTGGATTCTGCAAGTGGATATGTGGACCTCTGTGAAGATTTCGTTGGAAACGGGTTCATCTTCACAGAAAAACTAAACAGGAGCATTCTCAGAAACTGCATTGTCATGTTTGTGTTCCACTTCAAGAATTGAACTTTCCTCTTGACAGAGCAGCTCTGAAACCCTCTTTTTCTAGAATCTGCAAGTGGACATTTGGAGGGCTTTGAGGCCTGTGGTGCAAAAGGAAAATCTTCACATAAAAACTAGATGGAAGCATTCTCAGAAACTACTTTGTGATGATTGCATTCGACTCACAGAGTTGAACATCCCTATAGATAGAGCAGGTTGTAAACAATCTTTTTGTAGAATCTGCGATTGGAGATTTTGACTGCTTTGAGGCCTACTGTAGTAAAGGAAATAACTTCATCTAAAAACCAAACGGAAGCATTCACAAACAATTCTTAGTGATCATTGCATTGAACTAACAGAGCTGAACATTCCTTTAGATGGCGCAGTTTCCAAACACACTTTCTGTAGAATCTGCAAGTGGATATTTGGACTTCTCTGAGGATTTCGTTGGAAACGGGATAAACTTCCCAGAACTACACGGAAGCATTCTGAGAAACTTCTTTGTGATGTTTGCATTCAACTCACAGAGTTGAACCTTGCTTTCATAGTTCAGCTTTCAAACACTCTTTTTGTAGAATCTGCAAGTGGATATTTGGACCACTTTGTGGCCTTCCTTCGAAACGGGTATATCTTCACATCAAACCTAGACAGAAGCATTCTCAGAATGTTTCCTGTGATGACTGCATTCAACTCACAGAGGTGAACAATCCTGCTGATGGAGCAGTTTTGAAACTCTCTTTCTTTGGATTCTGCAAGTGGATATGTGGACCTCTGTGAAGATTTCGTTGGAAACGGGTTCATTTTCACAGAAAAACTAAACAGAAGCATTCTCAGAAACTGCTTTGTGATGTTTGTGTTCCACTTCAGGAATTGAACTTTCCTCTTGACAGAGCAGCCCTGAAACCCTCTTATTCTAGAATCTGCAAGTGGACATTTGGAGGGCTTTGAGGCTTGTGGTGGAAAAGGAAAATCTTCACATAAAAACTAGATGGAAGCATTCTCAGAAACTACTTTGTGATGATTGCATTCGACTCACAGAGTTGAACATTCCTATAGATAGAGCAGGTTGTAAACAATCTTTTGTAGAATCTGCGATTGGAGATTTGGACTGCTTTGAGGCCTACTGTAGTAAAGGAAATAACTTCATCTAAAAACCAAACGGAAGCATTCACAGACAATTCTTAGTGATCATTGGATTGAACTAACAGAGCTGAACATTCCTTTAGATGGAGCAGTTTCCAAACACACTTTCTGTAGAATCTGCAAGTGGATATTTGGACCTCTCTGAGGATTTCGTTGGAAACGGGTAAATTTCCCAGAACTACACGGAAGCATTCTGAGAAACTTCTTTGTGATGTTTGCATTCAACTCACAGAGTTGAAACTTGCTTTCATAGTTCAGCTTTCAAACACTCTTTTTGTAGAATCTGCAAGTGGATATTTGGACCACTTTGTGGCCTTCCTTCGAAACGGGTATATCTTCACATCAAACCTAGACAGAAGCATTCTCAGAATGTTTCCTGTGATGACTACATTCAACTCACAGAGGTGAACAATCCTGCTGATGGAGCAGTTTTGAAACTCTCTTTCTTTGGATTCTGCAAGTGGATATGTGGACCTCTGTGAAGATTTCGTTGGAAACGGGTTCATCTTCACAGAAAAACTAAACAGGAGCATTCTCAGAAACTGCTTTGTGATGTTTGTGTTCCACTTCAGGAATTGAACTTTCCTCTTGACAGAGCAGCTCTGAAACCCTCTTATTCTAGAATCTGCAAGTGGACATTTGGAGGGCTTTGAGGCCTGTGGTGGAAAAGGAAAATCTTCACATAAAAACTAGATGGAAGCATTCTCAGAAACTACTTTGTGATGATTGCATTCGACTCACAGAGTTGAACATTCCTATAGATAGAGCAGGTTGTAAACAATCTTTTTGTAGAATCTGCGATTGGAGATTTGGACTGCTTTGAGGCCTACTGTAGTAAAGGAAATAACTTCATCTAAAAACCAAACGGAAGCATTCACAGACAATTCTTAGTGATCATTGCATTGAACTAACAGAGCTGAACATTCCTTTAGATGGCGCAGTTTCCAAACACACTTTCTGTAGAATCTGCAAGTGGATATTTGGACTTCTCTGAGGATTTCGTTGGAAACGGGATAAACTTCCCAGAACTACACGGAAGCATTGTGAGAAACTTCTTTGTGATGTTTGCATTCAACTCACAGAGTTGAACCTTGCTTTCATAGTTCAGCTTTCAAACACTCTTTTTGTAGAATCTGCAAGTGGATATTTGGACCACTTTGTGGCCTTCCTTCGAAACGGGTATATCTTCACATCAAACCTAGACAGAAGCATTCTCAGAATGTTTCCTGTGATGACTGCATTCAACTCACAGAGGTGAACAATCCTGCTGATGGAGCAGTTTTGAAACTCTCTTTCTTTGGATTCTGCAAGTGGATATGTGGACCTCTGTGAAGATTTCGTTGGAAACGGGTGCATCTTCACAGAAAAACTAAACAGGAGCATTCTCAGAAACTGCTTTGTGATGTTTGTGTTCCACTTCAGGAATTGAACTTTCCTCTTGACAGAGCAGCTCTGAAACCCTCTTTTTCTAGAATCTGCAAGTGGACATTTGGAGGGCTGTGAGGACTGTGGTGGAAAAGGAAAATCTTCACATAAAAACTAGATGGAAGCATTCTCAGAAACTACTTTGTGATGATTGCATTCGACTCACAAAGTTGAACATTCCTATAGATAGAGCAGGTTGTAAACAATCTTTTTGTAGAATCTACGATTGGAGATTTGGACTGCTTTGAGGCCTACTGTAGAAAAGGAAATAACTTCATCTAAAAACCAAACGGAAGCATTCACAGACAATTCTTAGTGATCATTGCATTGAACTAACAGAGCTGAACATTCCTTTAGATGGCGCAGTTTCCAAACACACTTTCTGTAGAATCTGCAAGTGGATATTTGGACCTCTCTGAGGATTTCGTTGGAAACGGGATAAACTTCCCAGAACTACACGGAAGTATTCTGAGAAACTTCTTTGTGATGTTTGCATTCAACTCACAGAGTTGAACCTTGCTTTCATAGTTCAGCTTTCAAACACTCTTTTTGTAGAATCTGCAAGTGGATATTTGGACCACTTTGTGGCCTTCCTTCGAAAGGGGTATATCTTCACATCAAACCTAGACAGAAGCATTCTCAGAATGTTTCCTGTGATGACTGCATTCAACTCACAGAGGTGAACAATCCTGCTGATGGAGCAGTTTTGAAACTCTCTTTCTTTGGATTCTGCAAGTGGATATGTGGACCTCTGTGAAGATTTCGTTGTAAACGGGTTCATCTTCACAGAAAAACTAAACAGGAGCATTCTCAGAAACTACTTTGTGATGTTTGTGTTCCACTTCAAGAATTGAACTTTCCTCTTGACAGAGCAGCTCTGAAACCCTCTTTTTCTAGAATCTGCAAGTGGACATTTGGAGGGCTTTGAGGCCTGTGGTGGAAAAGGAAAATCTTCACATAAAAACTAGATGGAAGCATTCTCAGAAACTACTTTGTGATGATTGCATTCGACTCACAGAGTTGAACATTCCTATAGATAGAGCAGGTTGTAAACAATCTTTTTGTAGAATCTGCGATTGGAGATTTGGACTGCTTTGAGGCCTACTGTAGTAAAGGAAATAACTTCATCTAAAAACCAAACGGAAGCATTCACAGACAATTCTTAGTGATCATTGGATTGAACTAACAGAGCTGAACATTCCTTTAGATGGAGCAGTTTCCAAACACACTTTCTGTAGAATCTGCAAGTGGATATTTGGACCTCTCTGAGGATTTCGTTGGAAACGGGATAAACTTCCCAGAACTACACGGAAGCATTCTGAGAAACTTCTTTGTGATGTTTGCATTCAACTCACAGAGTTGAACCTTGCTTTCATAGTTCAGCTTTCAAACACTCTTTTTGTAGAATCTGCAAGTGGATATTTGGACCACTTTGTGGCCTTCCTTCGAAACGGGTATATCTTCACATCAAACCTAGACAGAAGCATTCTCAGAATCTTTCCTGTGATGACTGCATTCAACTCACAGAGGTGAACAATCCTGCTGATGGAGCAGTTTTGAAACTCTCTTTCTTTGGATTCTGCAAGTGGATATGTGGACCTCTGTGAAGATTTCGTTGGAAACGGGTTCATCTTCACGGAAAAACTAAACAGGAGCATTCTCAGAAACTGCTTTGTGATGTTTGTGTTCCACTTCAGGAATTGAACTTTCCTCTTGACAGAGCAGCTCTAAAACCCTCTTATTCTAGAATCTGCAAGTGGACATTTGGAGGGCTTTGAGGCCTGTGGTGGAAAAGGAAAATCTTCACATAAAAACTAGATGGAAACATTCTCAGAAACTACTTTGTGATGTTTGCATTCGACACACAGAGTTGAACATTCCTATAGATAGAGCAGGTTGTAAACAATCTTTTTGTAGAATCTGCGATTGGAGATTTGGACTGCTTTGAGGCCTACTGTAGTAAAGGAAATAACTTCATCTAAAAACCAAACGGAAGCATTCACAGACAATTCTTAGTGATCATTGCATTGAACTAACAGAGCTGAACATTCCTTTAGATGGAGCAGTTTCCAAACCCACTTTCTGTAGAATCTGCAAGTGGATATTTGGACTTCTCTGAGGATTTCGTTGGAAACGGGATAAACTTCCCAGAACTACACGGAAGCATTCTGAGAAACTTCTTTGTGATGTTTGCATTCAACTCACAGAGTTGAACCTTGCTTTCATAGTTCAGCTTTGAAACACTCTTTTTGTAGAATCTGCAAGAGGATATTTGGACCACTTTGTGGCCTTCCTTCGAAACGGGTATATCTTCACATCAAACCTAGACAGAAGCATTCTCACAATGTTTCCTGTGATGACTGCATTCAACTCACAGAGGTGAACAATCCTGCTGATGGAGCAGTTTTGAAACTCTCTTTCTTTGGATTCTGCAAGTGGATATGTGGACCTCTGTGAAGATTTCTTTGGAAACGGGTTCATCTTCACAGAAAAACTAAACAGGAGCATTCTCAGAAACTGCTTTGTGATGTTTGTGTTCCACTTCAGGAATTGAACTTTCCTCTTGACAGAGCAGCTCTGAAACCCTCTTTTTCTAGAATCTGCAAGTGGACATTTGGAGGGCTTTGAGGCCTGTGGTGGAAAAGGAAAATCTTCACATACAAACTAGATGGAAGCATTCTCAGAAACTACTTTGTGATGATTGCATTCGACTCACAGAGTTGAACATTCCTATAGATAGAGCAGGTTGTAAACAATCTTTTTGTAGAATCTGCGATTGGAGATTTGGACTGCTTTGAGGCCTACTGTAGTAAAGGAAATAACTTCATCTAAAAACCAAACGGAAGCATTCACAGACAATCCTTAGTGATCATTGCATTGAACTAACAGAGCTGAACATTCCTTTAGATGGCGCAGTTTCCAAACACACTTTCTGTAGAATCTGCAAGTGGATATTTGGACCTCTCTGAGGATTTCGTTGGAAACGGGATAAACTTCCCAGAACTACACGGAAGCATTGTGAGAAACTTCTTTGTGATGTTTGCATTCAACTCACAGAGTTGAACCTTGCTTTCATAGTTCAGCTTTCAAACACTCTTTTTGTAGAATCTGCAAGTGGATATTTGGACCACTTTGTGGCCTTCCTTCGAAACGGGTATATCTTCACATCAAACCTAGACAGAAGCATTCTCAGCATGTTTCCTGTGATGACTGCATTCAACTCACAGAGGTGAACAATCCTGCTGATGGAGCAGTTTTGAAACTCTCTTTCTTTGGATTCTGCAAGTGGATATGTGGACCTCTGTGAAGATTTCGTTGGAAACGGGTTCATCTTCACAGAAAAACTAAACAGGAGCATTCTCAGAAACTACTTTGTGTTTGTTTGTGTTCCACTTCAAGAATTGAACTTTCCTCTTGACAGAGCAGCTCTGAAACCCTCTTTTTCTAGAATCTGCAAGTGGACATTTGGAGGGCTTTGAGGCCTGTGGTGGAAAAGGAAAATCTTCACATAAAAACTAGATGGAAGCATTCTCAGAAACTACTTTGTGATGATGGCTTTCGACTCACAGAGTTGAACATTCCTATAGATAGAGCAGGTTGTAAACAATCTTTTTGTAGAATCTGCGATTGGAGATTTGGACTGCTTTGAGGCCTACTGTAGTAAAGGAAATAACTTCATCTAAAAACCAAACGGAAGCATTCACAGACAATTCTTAGTGATCATTGCATTGAACTAACAGAGCTGAACATTCCTTTAGATGGCGCAGTTTCCAAACACACTTTCTGTAGAATCTGCAAGTGGATATTTGGACTTCTCTGAGGATTTCGTTGGAAACGGGATAAACTTCCCAGAACTACACGGAAGCATTCTGAGAAACTTCTTTGTGATGTTTGCATTCAACTCACAGAGTTGAACCTTGCTTTCATAGTTCAGCTTTCAAACACTCTTTTTGTAGAATCTGCAAGTGGATATTTGGACCACTTTGTGGCCTTCCTTCGAAACGGGTATATCTTCACATCAAACCTAGACAGAAGCATTCTCAGAATGTTTCCTGTGATGACTGCATTCAACTCACAGAGGTGAACAATCCTGTTGATGGAGCAGTTTTGAAACTCTCTTTCTTTGGATTCTGCAAGTGGATATGTGGACCTCTGTGAAGATTTCGTTGGAAACGGGTTCATCTTCACAGAAAAACTAAACAGAAGCATTCTCAGAAACTGCTTTGTGATGTTTGTGTTCCACTTCAGGAATTGAACTTTCCTCTTGACAGAGCAGCTCTGAAACCCTCTTATTCTAGAATCTGCAAGTGGACATTTGGAGGGCTTTGAGGCCTGTGGTGGAAAAGGAAAATCTTTACATAAAAACTAGATGGAAGCATTCTCAGAAACTACTTTGTGATGATTGCATTCGACTCACAGAGTTGAACATTCCTATAGATAGAGCAGGTTGTAAACAATCTTTCTGT
The DNA here is from genome assembly GCF_000001405.40 of Homo sapiens. Classification (NCBI taxonomy): domain Eukaryota; kingdom Metazoa; phylum Chordata; class Mammalia; order Primates; family Hominidae; genus Homo; species Homo sapiens. The sequence continues at coordinate 52,641,577 of NC_000011.10, forward strand.
AGAATCTGCGATTGGAGATTTGGACTGCTTTGAGGCCTACTGTAGTAAAGGAAATAACTTCATCTAAAAACCAAACGGAAGCATTCACAGACAATTCTTAGTGATCATTGGATTGAACTAACAGAGCTGAACATTCCTTTAGATGGCGCAGTTTCCAAACACACTTTCTGTAGAATCTGCAAGTGGATATTTGGACCTCTCTGAGGATTTCGTTGGAAACGGGATAAACTTCCCAGAACTACACGGAAGCATTGTGAGAAACTTCTTTGTGATGTTTGCATTCAACTCACAGAGTTGAACCTTGCTTTCATAGTTCAGCTTTCAAACACTCTTTTTGTAGAATCTGCAAGTGGATATTTGGACCACTTTGTGGCCTTCCTTCGAAACGGGTATATCTTCACATCAAACCTAGACAGAAGCATTCTCAGAATGTTTCCTGTGATGACTGCATTCAACTCACAGAGGTGAACAATCCTGCTGATGGAGCAGTTTTGAAACTCTCTTTCTTTGGATTCTGCAAGTGGATATGTGGACCTCTGTGAAGATTTCGTTGGAAACGGGTTCATCTTCACAGAAAAACTAAACAGAAGCATTCTCAGAAACTGCTTTGTGATGTTTGTGTTCCACTTCAAGAATTGAACTTTCCTCTTGACAGAGCAGCTCTGAAACCCTCTTTTTCTAGAATCCGCAAGTGGACATTTGGAGGGCTTTGAGGCCTGTGGTGGAAAAGGAAAATCTTCACATAAAAACTAGATGGAAGCATTCTCAGAAACTACTTTGTGATGATTGCATTCGACTCACAGAGTTGAACATTCCTATAGATAGAGCAGGTTGTAAACAATCTTTTTGTAGAATCTGCGATTGGAGATTTGGACTGCTTTGAGGCCTACTGTAGTAAAGGAAATAACTTCATCTAAAAACCAAACGGAAGCATTCACAGACAATTCTTAGTGATCATTGGATTGAACTAACAGAGCTGAACATTCCTTTAGATGGAGCAGTTTCCAAACACACTTTCTGTAGAATCTGCAAGTGGATATTTGGACCTCTCTGAGGATTTCGTTGGAAACGGGATAAACTTCCCAGAACTACACGGAAGCATTGTGAGAAACTTCTTTGTGATGTTTGCATTCAACTCACAGAGTTGAACCTTGCTTTCATAGTTCAGCTTTCAAACACTCTTTTTGTAGAATCTGCAAGTGGATATTTGGACCACTTTGTGGCCTTCCTTCGAAACGGGTATATCTTCACATCAAACCTAGACAGAAGCATTCTCAGAATGTTTCCTGTGATGACTGCATTCAACTCACAGAGGTGAACAATCCTGCTGATGGAGCAGTTTTGAAACTCTCTTTCTTTGGATTCTGCAAGTGGATATGTGGACCTCTGTGAAGATTTCGTTGGAAACGGGTTCATCTTCACAGAAAAACTAAACAGAAACATTCTCAGAAACTGCTTTGTGAAGTTTGTGTTCCACTTCAGGAATTGAACTTTCCTCTTGACAGAGCAGCTCTGAAACCCTCTTATTCTAGAACCTGCAAGTGGACATTTGGAGGGCTTTGAGGCCTGTGGTGGAAAAGGAAAATCTTCACATAAAAACTAGATGGAAGCATTCTCAGAAACTACTTTGTGATGATTGCATTCGACTCACAGAGTTGAACATTCCTATAGATAGAGCAGGTTGTAAACAATCTTTTTGTAGAATCTGCGATTGGAGATTTGGACTGCTTTGAGGCCTACTGTAGTAAAGGAAATAACTTCATCTAAAAACCAAACGGAAGCATTCACAGACAATTCTTAGTGATCATTGGATTGAACTAACAGAGCTGAACATTCCTTTAGATGGAGCAGTTTCCAAACCCACTTTCTGTAGAATCTGCAAGTGGATATTTGGACTTCTCGGAGGATTTCGTTGGAAACGGGATAAACTTCCCAGAACTACACGGAAGCATTGTGAGAATCATCTTTCTGATGTTTGCATTCAACTCACAGAGTTGAACCTTGCTTTCATAGTTCAGCTTTCAAACACTCTTTTTGTAGAATCTGCAAGTGGATATTTGGACCACTTTGTGGCCTTCCTTTGAAACGGGTACATCTTCACATCAAACCTAGACAGAAGCATTCTCAGAATGTTTCCTGTGATGACTGCATTCAACTCACAGAGGTGAACAATCCTGCTGATGGAGCAGTTTTGAAACTCTCTTTCTTTGGATTCTGCAAGTGGATATGTGGACCTCTGTGAAGATTTCGTTGGAAACGGGTTCATCTTCACAGAAAAACTAAACAGAAGCATTCTCAGAAACTGCTTTGTGATGTTTGTGTTCCACTTCAAGAATTGAACTTTCCTCTTGACAGAGCAGCTCTGAAACCCTCTTTTTCTAGAATCTGCAAGTGGACATTTGGAGGGCTTTGAGGCCTGTGGTGGAAAAGGAAAATCTTCACATAAAAACTAGATGGAAGCATTCTCAGAAACTACTTTGTGATGATTGCATTCGACTCACAGAGTTGAACATTCCTATAGATAGAGCAGGTTGTAAACAATCTTTTTGTAGAATCTGCGATTGGAGATTTGGACTGCTTTGAGGCCTACTGTAGTAAAGGAAATAACTTCATCTAAAAACCAAACGGAAGCATTCACAGTACAATTCTTAGTGATCATTGGATTGAACTAACAGAGCTGAACATTCCTTTAGATGGAGCAGTTTCCAAACACACTTTCTGTAGAATCTGCAAGTGGATATTTGGACCTCTCTGAGGATTTCGTTGGAAACGGGATAAACTTCCCAGAACTACACGGAAGCATTCTGAGAAACTTCTTTGTGATGTTTGCATTCAACTCACAGAGTTGAACCTTGCTTTCATAGTTCAGCTTTCAAACACTCTTTTTGTAGAATCTGCAAGTGGATATTTGGACCACTTTGTGGCCTTCCTTCGAAACGGGTATATCTTCACATCAAACCTAGACAGAAGCATTCTCAGAATGTTTCCTGTGATGACTGCATTCAACTCACAGAGGTGAACAATCCTGCTGATGGAGCAGTTTTGAAACTCTCTTTCTTTGGATTCTGCAGGTGGATATGTGGACCTCTGTGAAGATTTCGTTGGAAACGGGTTCATCTTCACAGAAAAACTAAACAGGAGCATTCTCAGAAACTGCTTTGTGATGTTTGTGTTCCACTTCAAGAATTGAACTTTCCTCTTGACAGAGCAGCTCTGAAACCCTCTTTTTCTAGAATCTGCAAGTGGACATTTGGAGGGCTTTGAGGCCTGTGGTGGAAAAGGAAAATCTTCCCATAAAAACTAGATGGAAGCATTCTCAGAAACTACTTTGTGATGATTGCATTCTACTCACAGAGTTGAACATTCCTATAGATAGAGCAGGTTGTAAACAAACTTTTTGTAGAATCTGCGATTGGAGATTTGGACTGCTTTGAGGCCTACTTTAGTAAAGGAAATAACTTCATCTAAAAACCAAACGGAAGCATTCACAGACAATTCTTAGTGATCATTGGATTGAACTAACAGAGCTGAACATTCCTTTAGATGGCGCAGTTTCCAAACCCACTTTCTGTAGAATCTGCAAGTGGATATTTGGACTTCTCTGAGGATTTCGTTGGAAACGGGATAAACTTCCCAGAACTACAGGGAAGCATTGTGAGAAACTTCTTTGTGATGTTCAGCTTTCATAGTTCAGCTTTCAAACACTCTTTTTGTAGAATCTGCAAGTGGATATTTGGACCACTTTGTGGCCTTCCTTCGAAACGGGTATATCTTCACATCAAACCTAGACAGAAGCATTCTCAGAATGTTTCCTGTGATGACTGCATTCAACTCACAGAGGTGAACAATCCTGCTGATGGAGCAGTTTTGAAACTCTCTTTCTTTGGATTCTGCAAGTGGATATGTGGACCTCTGTGAAGATTTCGTTGGAAACGGGTTCATCTTCACAGAAAAACTAAACAGAAGCATTCTCAGAAACTACTTTGTGATGTTTGTGTTCCACTTCAAGAATTGAACTTTCCTCTTGACAGAGCAGCTCTGAAACCCTCTTTTTCTAGAATCTGCAAGTGGACATTTGGAGGGCTTTGAGGCCTGTGGTGGAAAAGGAAAATCTTCACATAAAAACTAGATGGAAGCATTCTCAGAAACTACTTTGTGATGATTGCATTCGACTCACAGAGTTGAACATTCCTATAGATAGAGCAGGTTGTAAACAATGTTTTTGTAGAATCTGCGATTGGAGATTTGGACTGCTTTGAGGCCTACTGTAGTAAAGGAAATAACTTCATCTAAAAACCAAACGGAAGCATTCACAGACAATTCTTAGTGATCATTGGATTGAACTAACAGAGCTGAACATTCCTTGAGATGGAGCAGTTTCCAAACACACTTTCTGTAGAATCTGCAAGTGGATATTTGGACTTCTCTGAGGATTTCGTTGGAAACGGGATAAACTTCCCAGAACTACATGGAAGCATTGTGAGAAAATTCTTTGTGATGTTTGCATTCAACTCACAGAGTTGAACCTTGCTTTCATAGTTCAGCTTTCAAACACTCTTTTTGTAGAATCTGCAAGTGGATATTTGGACCACTTTGTGGCCTTCCTTCGAAACGGGTATATCTTCACATCAAACCTAGACAGAAGCATTCTCAGAATGTTTCCTGTGATGACTGCATTCAACTCACAGAGGTGAACAATCCTGTTGATGGAGCACTTTTGAAACTCTCTTTCTTTGGATTCTGCAAGTTGATATGTGGACCTCTGTGAAGATTTCGTTGGAAACGGGTTCATCTTCACAGAAAAACTAAACAGAAGCATTCTCAGAAACTGCTTTGTGATGTTTGTGTTCCACTTCAAGAATTGAACTTTCCTCTTGACCGAGCAGCTCTGAAACCCTCTTTTTCTAGAATCTGCAAGTGGACATTTGGAGGGCTTTGAGGCCTGTGGTGGAAAAGGAAAATCTTCCCATAAAAACTGGATGGAAGCATTCTCAGAAACTACTTTGTGATGATTGCATTCGACTCATAGAGTTGAACATTCCTATAGATAGAGCAGGTTGTAAACAATCTTTTTGTAGAATCTGCGACTGGAGATATGGACTGTTTTGAGGCCTACTGTAGTGAAGGAAATAACTTCATCTAAAAACCAAACGGAAGCATTCACAGACAATTCTTAGAGATCATTGCATTGAACTAACAGAGCTGAACATTCCTTTAGATGGAGCAGTTTCCAAACACACTTTCTGTAGAATCTGCAAGTGGATATTTGGACTTCTCTGAGGATTTCGTTGGAAACGGGATAAACTTCCCAGAACTACACGGAAGCATTGTGAGAAACTTCTTTGTGATGTTTGCATTCAACTCACAGAGTTGAACCTTGCTTTCATAGTTCAGCTTTCAAACACTCTTTTTGTAGAATCTGCAAGTGGATATTTGGACCACTTTGTGGCCTTCCTTCGAAACGGGTATATCTTCACATCAAACCTAGACAGAAGCATTCTCAGAATGTTTCCTGTGATGACTGCATTCAACTCACAGAGGTGAACAATCCTGCTGATGGAGCAGTTTTGAAACTCTCTTTCTTTGGATTCTGCAAGTGGATATGTGGACCTCTGTGAAGATTTCGTTGGAAACGGGTTCATCTTCACAGAAAAACTAAACAGGAGCATTCTCAGAAACTGCTTTGTGATGTTTGTGTTCCACTTCAGGAATTGAACTTTCCTCTTGACAGAGCAGCTCTAAAACCCTCTTATTCTAGAATCTGCAAGTGGACATTTGGAGGGCTTTGAGGCCTGTGGTGGAAAAGGAAAATCTTCACATAAAAACTAGATGGAAGCATTCTCAGAAACTACTTTGTGATGATTGCATTCGACTCACAGAGTTGAACATTCCTATAGATAGAGCAGGTTGTAAACAATCTTTTTGTAGAATCTGCGATTGGAGATTTGGACTGCTTTGAGGCCTACTGTAGTAAAGGAAATAACTTCATCTAAAAACCAAACGGAAGCATTCACAGACAATTCTTAGTGATCACTGGATTGAACTAACAGAGCTGAACATTCCTTTAGATGGAGTAGTTTCCAAACACACTTTCTGTAGAATCTGCAAGTGGATATTTGGACTTCTCTGAGGATTTCGTTGGAAACGGGATAAACTTCACAGAACTACACGGAAGCATTGTGAGAAACTTCTTTGTGATGTTTGCATTCAACTCACAGAGTTGAACCTTGCTTTCATAGTTCAGCTTTCAAACACTCTTTTTGTAGAATCTGCAAGTGGATATTTGGACCACTTTGTGGCCTTCCTTCGAAACGGGTATATCTTCACATCAAACCTAGACAGAAGCACTCTCAGAATGTTTCCTGTGATGACTGCATTCAACTCACAGAGGTGAACAATCCTGTTGATGGAGCAGTTTTGAAACTCTCTTTCTTTGGATTCTGCAAGTGGATATGTGGACCTCTGTGAAGATTTCGTTCGAAACGGTTATATCTTCACATCAAACCTAGACAGAAGCATTCTCAGAAAGTGCTTTGTGATGTTTGTGTTCCACATCAAGAATTGAACTTTCCTCTTGACAGAGCAGCTCTGAAACCCTCTTTTTCTAGAATTTGCAAGTGGACATTTGGAGGGCTTTGAGGCCTGTGGTGCAAAAGGAAAATCTTCACATAAAAACTAGATGGAAGCATTCTCAGAAACTACTTTGTGATGATTGCATTCGACTCACAGAGTTGAACATTCCTATAGATAGAGCAGGTTGTAAACAATGTTTTTGTAGAATCTGCGATTGGAGATTTGGATTGCTTTGAGGCCTACTGTAGTAAAGGAAATAACTTCATCTAAAAACCAAACGGAAGCATTCACAGACAATTCTTAGTGATCATTGCATTGAACTAACAGAGCTGAACATTCCTTTAGATGGAGCAGTTTCCAAACCCACTTTCTGTAGAATCTGCAAGTGGATATTTGGACTTCTCTGAGGATTTCGTTGGAAAAGGGATAAACTTCCCAGAACTACAGGGAAGCATTGTGAGAAACTTCTTTGTGATGTTTGCATTCAACTCACAGAGTTGAACCTTGGTTTCATAGTTCAGCTTTCAAACACTCTTTTTGTAGAATCTGCAAGTGGATATTTGGACCACTTTGTGGCCTTCCTTCGAAACGGGTATATCTTCACATCAAACCTAGACAGAAGCATTCTCAGAATGTTTCCTGTGATGACTGCATTCAACTCACAGAGGTGAACAATCCTGCTGATGGAGCAGTTTTGAAACTCTCTTTCTTTGGATTCTGCAAGTGGATATGTGGACCTCTGTGAAGATTTCGTTGGAAACGGGTTCATCTTCACAGAAAAACTAAACAGGAGCATTCTCAGAAACTGCTTTGTGATGTTTGTGTTCCACTTCAAGAATTGAACTTTCCTCTTGACAGAGCAGCTCTGAAACCCTCTTTTTCTAGAATCTGCAAGTGGACATTTGGAGGGCTTTGAGGTCTGTGGTGGAAAAGGAAAATCTTCACATAAAAACTAGATGGAAGCATTCTCAGAAACTACTTTGTGATGATTGCATTCGACTCACAGAGTTGAACATTCCTATACATAGAGCAGGTTGTAAACAATCTTTTTGTAGAATCTGCGATTGGAGATTTGGACTGCTTTGAGGCCTACTGTAGTAAAGGAAATAACTTCATCTAAAAACCAAACGGAAGCATTCACAGACAATTCTCAGTGATCATTGCATTGAACTAACAGAGCTGAACATTCCTTTAGATGGCGCAGTTTCCAAACACACTTTCTGTAGAATCTGAAAGTGGATATTTGGACCTCTCTGAGGATTTCGTTGGAAACGGGATAAACTTCCCAGAACTACACGGAAGCATTCTGAGAAACTTCTTTGTGATGTTTGCATTCAACTCACAGAGTTGAACCTTGCTTTCATAGTTCAGCTTTCAAACACTCTTTTTGTAGAATCTGCAAGTGGATATTTGGACCACTTTGTGGCCTTCCTTCGAAACGGGTATATCTTCACATCAAACCTAGACAGAAGCATTCTCAGAATGTTTCCTGTGATGACTGCATTCAACTCACAGAGGTGAACAATCCTGCTGATGGAGCAGTTTTGAAACTCTCTTTCTTTGGATTCTGCAAGTGGATATGTGGACCTCTGAGAAGATTTCGTTGGAAACGGGTTCATCTTCACAGAAAAACTAAACAGGAGCATTCTCAGAAACTGCTTTGTGATGTTTGTGTTCCACATCAAGAATTGAACTTTCCTCTTGACAGAGCAGCTCTGAAACCCTCCTTTTCTAGAATCTGCAAGTGGACATTTGGAGGGCTTTGAGGCCTGTGGTGCAAAAGGAAAATCTTCACATAAAAACTAGATGGAAGCATTCTCAGAAACTACTTTGTGATGATTGCATTCGACTCACAGAGTTGAACATTCCTATAGATAGAGCAGGTTGTAAACAATCTTTTTGTAGAATCTGCGATTGGAGATTTGGACTGCTTTGAGGCCTACTGTAGTAAAGGAAATAACTTCATCTAAAAACCAAACGGAAGCATTCACAGACAATTCTTAGTGATCATTAGATTGAACTAACAGGGCTGAACATTCCTTTAGATGGCGCAGTTTCCAAACACACTTTCTGTAGAATCTGCAAGTGGATATTTGGACCTCTCTGAGGATTTCGTTGGAAAGGGGATAAACTTCCCAGAACTACACGGAAGCATTGTGAGAAACTTCGTTGTGATGTTTGCATTCAACTCACAGAGTTGAACCTTGCTTTCATAGTTCAGCTTTCAAACACTCTTTTTGTAGAATCTGCAAGTGGATATTTGGACCACTTTGTGGCCTTCCTTCGAAACGGGTATATCTTCACATCAAACCTAGACAGAAGCATTCTCAGAATGTTTCCTGTGATGACTGCATTCAACTCACAGAGGTGAACAATCCTGCTGATGGAGCAGTTTTGAAACTCTCTTTCTTTGGATTCTGCAGGTGGATATGTGGACCTCTGTGAAGATTTCTTTGGAAACGGGTTCATCTTCACAGAAAAACTAAACAGGAGCATTCTCAGAAACTGCTTTGTGATGTTTGTGTTCCACTTCAGGAATTGAACTTTCCTCTTGACAGAGCAGCTCTGAAATCCTCTTATTCTAGAATCTGCAAGTGGACATTTGGAGGGCTTTGAGGCCTGTGGTGGAAAGGGAAAATCTTCACATAAAAACTAGATGGAAGCATTCTCAGAAACTACTTTGTGATGATTGCATTCGACTCACAGAGTTGAACATTCCTATAGATAGAGCAGGTTGTAAACAATCTTTTTGTAGAATCTGCGATTGGAGATTTGGACTGCTTTGAGGCCTACTGTAGTAAAGGAAATAACTTCATCTAAAAACCAAACGGAAGCATTCACAGACAATTCTTAGTGATCATTGGATTGAACTAAGAGAGCTGAACATTCCCTTAGATGTCACAGTTTCCAAACACACTTTCTGTAGAATCTGCAAGTGGATATTTGGACGTCTCTGAGGATTTCGTTGGAAACGGGATAAACTTCCCAGAACTACACGGAAGCATTGTGAGCAAACTTCTTTGTGATGTTTGCATTCAACTCACAGAGTTGAACCTTGCTTTCATAGTTCAGCTATCAAACACTCTTTTTGTAGGATCTGCAAGTGGATATTTGAACCACTTTGTGGCCTTCCTTCGAAACGGGTATATCTTCACATGAAACATAGACAGAAGCATTCTCAGAATGTTTCCTGTGATGACTGCATTCAACTCACAGAGGTGAACAATCCTGTTGATGGAGCAGTTTTGAAACTCTCTTTCTTTGGATTCTGCAGGTGGATATGTGGACCTCTGTGAAGATTTCGTTGGAAACGGGTTCATCTTCACAGAAAAACTAAACAGGAGCATTCCCAGAAACTGCTTTGTGATGTTTGTGTTCCACTTCAAGAATTGAACTTTCTTCTTGACAGAGCAGCTCTGAAACCCTCTTTTTCTAGAATCTGCAAGTGGACATTTGGAGGGCTTTGAGGCCTGTGGTGGAAAAGGAAAATCTTCACATAAAAACTAGATGGAAGCATTCTCAGAAACTACTTTGTGATGATTGCATTCGACTCACAGAGTTGAACATTCCTATAGATAGAGCAGGTTGTAAACAATGTTTTTGTAGAATCTGCGATTGGAGATTTGGATTTCTTTGAGGCCTACTGTAGTAAAGGAAATAACTTCATCTAAAAACCAAACGGAAGCATTCACAGACAATTCTTAGTGATCATTGGATTGAACTAACAGAGCTGAACATTCCTTTAGATGGAGCAGTTGCCAAACCCACTTTCTGTAGAATCTGCAAGTGGATATTTGGACTTCTCTGAGGATTTCGTTGGAAACGGGATAAACTTCCCAGAACTACACGGAAGCATTCTGAGAAACTTCTTTGTGATGTTTGCATTCAACTCACAGAGTTGAACCTTGCTTTCATAGTTCAGCTTTCAAACACTCTTTTTGTAGAATCTGCAAGTGGATATTTGGACCACTTTCTGGCCTTCCTTCGAAACGGGTATATCTTCACATCAAACCTAGACAGAAGCATTCTCAGAATGTTTCCTGTGATGACTGCATTCAACTCACAGAGGTGAACAATCCTGCTGATGGAGCAGTTTTGAAACTCTCTTTCTTTGGATTCCGCAAGTGGATATGTGGACCTCTGTGAAGATTTCGTTGGAAACGGGTTCATCTTCACAGAAAAACTAAACAGAAGCATTCTCAGAAACTGCTTTGTGATGTTTGTGTTCCACTTCAGGAATTGAACTTTCCTCTTGACAGAGCAGCTCTAAAACCCTCTTATTCTAGAATCTGCAAGTGGACATTTGGAGGGCTTTGAGGCCTGTGGTGGAAAAGGAAAATCTTCACATAAAAACTAGATGGAAGCATTCTCAGAAACTACTTTGTGATGATTGCATTCGACTCACAGAGTTGAACATTCCTATACATAGAGCAGGTTGTAAACAATCTTTTTGTAGAATCTGCGATTGGAGATTTGGACTGCTTTGAGGCCTACTGTAGTAAAGGAAATAACTTCATCTAAAAACCAAACGGAAGCATTCACAGACAATTCTTAGTGATCATTGCATTGAACTAACAAAGCTGAACATTCCTTTAGATGGCGCAGTTTCCAAACACACTTTCTGTAGAATCTGAAAGTGGATATTTGGACCTCTCTGAGGATTTCGTTGGAAACGGGATAAACTTCCCAGAACTACACGGTAGCATTCTGAGAAACTTCTTTGTGATGTTTGCATTCAACTCACAGAGTTGAACCTTGCTTTCATAGTTCAGCTTTCAAACACTCTTTTTGTAGAATCTGCAAGTGGATATTTGGACCACTTTGTGGCCTTCCTTCGAAACGGGTATATCTTCACATCAAACCTAGACAGAAGCATTCTCAGAATGTTTCCTGTGATGACTGCATTCAACTCACAGAGGTGAACCATCCTGCTGATGGAGCAGTTTTGAAACTCTCTTTCTTTGGATTCTGCAAGTGGATATGTGGACCTCTGTGAAGATTTCGTTGGAAACGGGTTCATCTTCACAGAAAAACTAAACAGGAGCATTCTCAGAAACTGCTTTGTGATGTTTGTGTTCCACTTCAGGGATTGAACTTTCCTCTTGACAGAGCAGCTCTGAAACCCTCTTTTTCTAGAATCTGCAAGTGGACATTTGGAGGGCTTTGAGGCCTGTGGTGGAAAAGGAAACTCTTCACATAAAAACTAGATGGAAGCATTCTCAGAAACTACTTTGTGATGATGGCTTTCGACTCACAGAGTTGAACATTCCTATAGATAGAGCAGGTTGTAAACAATCTTTTTGTAGAATCTGCGATTGGAGATTTGGACTGCTTTGAGGCCTACTGTAGTAAAGGAAATAACTTCATCTAAAAACCAAACGGAAGCATTCACAGACAATTCTTAGTGATCATTGGATTGAACTAACAGAGCTGAACATTCCTTTAGATGGAGCAGTTTCCAAACACACTTTCTGTAGAATCTGCAAGTGGATATTTGGACCTCTCTGAGGATTTCGTTGGAAACGGGATAAACTTCCCAGAACTACACGGAAGCATTCTGAGAAACTTCTTTGTGATGTTTGCATTCAACTCACAGAGTTGAACCTTGCTTTGATAGTTCAGCTTTCAAACACTCTTTTTGTAGAATCTGCAAGTGGATATTTGGACCACTTTGTGGCCTTCCTTCGAAACGGGTATATCTTCACATCAAACCTAGACAGAAGCATTCTCAGAATGTTTCCTGTGATGACTGCATTCAACTCACAGAGGTGAACAATCCTGTTGATGGAGCAGTTTTGAAACTCTCTTTCTTTGGATTCTGCAAGTGGATATGTGGACCTCTGTGAAGATTTCGTTGGAAACGGGTTCATCTTCACAGAAAAACTAAACAGAAGCATTCTCAGAAACTGCTTTGTGATGTTTGCGTTCCACTTCAGGAATTGAACTTTCCTCTTGACAGAGCAGCTCTGAAACCCTCTTTTTCTAGAATCTGCAAGTGGACATTTGGAGGGCTTTGAGGCCTGTGGTGGAAAAGGAATATCTTCACATAAAAACTAGATGGAAGCATTCTCAGAAACTACTTTGTGATGATTGCATTCGACTCACAGAGTTGAACATTCCTATACATAGAGCAGGTTGTAAACAATCTTTTTGTAGAATCTGCGATTGGAGATTTGGACTGCTTTGAGGCCTACTGTAGTAAAGGAAATAACTTCATCTAAAAACCAAACGGAAGCATTCACAGACAATTCTTAGTGATCATTGCATTGAACTAACAGAGCTGAACATTCCTTTATATGGCGCAGTTTCCAAACACACTTTCTGTAGAATCTGCAAGTGGATATTTGGACCTCTCTAAGGATATCTTTGGAAACGGGATAAACTTCCCAGAACTACACGGAAGCATTCTGAGAAACTTCTTTGTGATGTTTGCATTCAACTCACAGAGTTGAACCTTGCTTTCATAGTTCAGCTTTCAAACACTCTTTTTGTAGAATCTGCAAGTGGATATTTGGACCACTTTGTGGCCTTCCTTCGAAACGGGTATATCTTCACATCAAACCTAGACAGAAGCATTCTCAGAATGTTTCCTGTGATGACTGCATTCAACTCACAGAGGTGAACAATCCTGCTGATGGAGCAGTTTTGAAACTCTCTTTCTTTGGATTCTGCAAGTGGATATGTGGACCTCTGTGAAGATTTCGTTGGAAACGGGTTCATCTTCACAGAAAAACTAAACAGAAGCATTCTCAGAAACTGCTTTGTGATGTTTGTGTTCCACTTCAGGAATTGAACTTTCCTCTTGACAGAGCAGCTCTGCAACCCTCTTATTCTAGAATCTGCAAGTGGACATTTGGAGGGCTTTGAGGCCTGTGGTGGAAAAGGAAAATCTTCACATAAAAACTAGATGGAAGCATTCTCAGAAACTACTTTGTGATGATTGCATTCGACTCACAGAGTTGAACATTCCTATAGATAGAGCAGGTTGTAAACAATCTTTTTGTAGAATCTGCGATTGGAGATTTGGACTGCTTTGAGGCCTACTGTAGTAAAGGAAATAACTTCATCTAAAAACCAAACGGAAGCATTCACAGACAATTCTTAGTGATCATTGGATTGAACTAACAGAGCTGAACATTCCTTTAGATGGAGCAGTTTCCAAACCCACTTTCTGTAGAATCTGCAAGTGGATATTTGGACTTCTCTGAGGATTTCGTTGGAAACGGGATAAACTTCCCAGAACTACACGGAAGCATTCTGAGAAACTTCTTTGTGATGTTTGCATTCAACTCACAGAGTTGAACCTTGCTTTCATAGTTCAGCTTTCAAACACTCTTTTTGTAGAATCTACAGAAAGTGGATATTTGGACCACTTTGTGGCCTTCCTTCGAAACGGGTATATCTTCACATCAAACCTAGACAGAAGCATTCTCAGAATGTTTCCTGTGATGACTGCATTCAACTCACAGAGGTGAACAATCCTGCTGATGGAGCAGTTTTGAAACTCTCTTTCTTTGGATTCTGCAAGTGGATATGTGGACCTCTGTGAAGATTTCGTTGGAAACGGGTTCATCTTCACAGAAAAACTAAACAGAAGCATTCTCAGAAACTGCTTTGTGATGTTTGCGTTCCACTTCAGGAATTGAACTTTCCTCTTGACAGAGCAGCTCTGAATCCCTCTTTTTCTAGAATCTGCAAGTGGACATTTGGAGGGCTTTGAGGCCTGTGGTGGAAAAGGAAAATCTTCACATAAAAACTAGATGGAAGCATTCTCAGAAACTACTTTGTGATGATTGCATTCGACTCACAGAGTTGAACATTCCTATAGATAGAGCAGGTTGTAAACAATGTTTTTGTAGAATCTGCGATTGGAGATTTGGACTGCTTTGAGGCCTACTGTAGTAAAGGAAATAACTTCATCTAAAAACCAAACGGAAGCATTCACAGACAATTCTTAGTGATCATTGGATTGAACTAACAGAGTTGAACATTCCTTTAGATGGAGCAGTTTCCAAACACACTTTCTGTAGAATCTGCAAGTGGATATTTGGACCTCTCTGAGGATTTCGTTGGAAACGGGATATACTTCCCAGAACTACACGGAAGCATTCTGAGAAACTTCTTTGTGATGTTTGCATTCAACTCACAGAGTTGAACCTTGCTTTCATACTTCAGCTTTCAAACACTCTTTTTGTAGAATCTGCAACTGGATATTTGGACCACTTTGTGGCCTTCCTTCGAAACGGGTATATCTTCACATCAAACCTAGACAGAAGCATTCTCAGAATGTTTCCTGTGATGACTGCATTCAACTCACAGAGGTGAACAATCCTGCTGTTGGAGCAGTTTTGAAACTCTCTTTCTTTGGATTCTGCAAGTGGATATGTGAACCTCTGTGAAGATTTCGTTGGAAACGGGTTCATCTTCACAGAAAAACTAAACAGGAGCATTCTCAGAAACTGCTTTGTGATGTTTTTGTTCCACTTCAGGAATTGAACTTTCCTCTTGACAGAGCAGCTCTGAAACCCTGTTATTCTAGAATCTGCAAGTGGACATTTGGAGGGCTTTGAGGCCTGTGGTGGAAAAGGAAAACCTTCACATAAAAACTAGATGGAAGCATTCTCAGAAACTTCTTTGTGATGATTGCATTCGACTCACAGAGTTGAACATTCCTATAGATAGAGCAGGTTGTAAACAATCTTTTTGTAGAATCTGCGATTGGAGATTTGGACTGCTTTGAGGCCTTCTGTAGTAAAGGAAACTACTTCATCTAAAAACCAAACGGAAGCATTCACAGACAATTCTTAGTGATCATTGGATTGAACTAACAGAGCTGAACATTCCTTTAGATGGAGCAGTTTCCAAACCCACTTTCTGTAGAATCTGCAAGTGGATATTTGGACTTCTCTGAGGATTTCGTTGGAAACGGGATAAACTTCCCAGAACTACACGGAAGCATTGTGAGAAACTTCTTTGTGATGTTTGCATTCAACTCACAGAGTTGAACCTTGCTTTCATAGTTCAGCTTTCAAACACTCTTTTTGTAGAATCTGCAAGTGGATATTTGGACCACTTTGTGGCCTTCCTTCGAAACGGGTATATCTTCACATCAAACCTAGACAGAAGCATTCTCAGAATGTTTCCTGTGATGACTGCATTCAACTCACAGAGGTGAAGAATCCTGTTGATGGAGCAGTTTTGAAACTCTCTTTCTTTGGATTCTGCAAGTGGATATGTGGACCTCTGTGAAGATTTCGTTGGAAACGTGTTCATCTTCACAGAAAAACTAAACAGAAGCATTCTCAGAAACTGCTTTGTGATGTTTGTGTTCCACTTCAGGAATTGAACTTTCCTCTTGACAGAGCAGCTCTGAAACCCTCTTTTTCTAGAATCTGCAAGTGGACATTTGGAGGGCTTTGAGGCCTGTGGTGGAAAAGGAAAATCTTCACATAAAAACTAGATGGAAGCATTCTCAGAAACTACTTTGTGATGATTGTATTCGACTCACAGAGTTGAACATTCCTATAGATAGAGCAGGTTGAAAACAATCTTTTTGTGGAATCTGCGATTGGAGATTTGGACTGCTTTGAGGCCTACTGTAGTAAAGGAAATAACTTCATCTAAAAACCAAACGGAAGCATTCACAGACAATTCTTAGTGATCATTGGATTGAACTAACAGAGCTGAACATTCCTTTAGATGGAGCAGTTTCCAAACACACTTTCTTTAGAATCTGCAAGTGGATATTTGGACCTCTCTGAGGATTTCTTTGGAAACGGGATAAACTTCCCAGAACTACACGGAAGAATTGTGAGAAACTTCTTTGTGATGTTTGCATTCAACTCACAGTGTTGAACCTTGCTTTCATAGTTCAGCTTTCAAACACTCTTTTTGTAGAATCTGCAAGTGGATATTTGGACCACATTTGGCCTTCCTTCCAAACGGGTATATCTTCACATGAAACCTAGACAGAAGCATTCTCAGAATGTTTCCTGTGATGACTGCATTCAACTCACAGAGGTGAACAATCCTGCTGATGGAGCAGTTTTGAAACTCTCTTTCTTTGGATTCTGCAAGTGGATATGTGGACCTCTGTGAAGATTTCGTTGGAAACGGGTTCATCTTCACAGAAAAACTAAACAGGAGCATTCTCAGAAACTGCTTTGTGATGTTTGTGTTCCACTTCAAGAATTGAACTTTCCTCTTGACAGAGCAGCTCTGAAACCCTCTTTTTCTAGAATCTGCAAGTGGACATTTGGAGGGCTTTGAGGCCTGTGGTGGAAAAGGAAAATGTTCCCATAAAAACTAGATGGAAGCATTCTCAGAAACTACTTTGTGATGATTGCATTCGACTCACAGAGTTGAACATTCCTATAGATAGAGAAGGTTGTACACAATCTTTTTGTAGAATCTGCGATTGGAGATTTGGACTGCTTTGAGGCCTACTGTAGTAAAGGAAATAACTTCACCTAAAAACCAAACGGAAGCATTCACAGACAATTCTTAGTGATCATTGCATTGAACTAACAGAGCTGAACATTCCTTTAGATGGCGCAGTTTCCAAACACACTTTCTGTAGAATCTGCAAGTGGATATTTGGACCTCTCTGAGGATTTCGTTGGAAACGGGATAAACTTCCCAGAACTACACGGAAGCATTCTGAGAAACTTCTTTGTGATGTTTGCTTTCAACTCAGAGAGTTGAACCTTGCTTTCATAGTTCAGCTTTCAAACACTCTTTTTGTAGAATCTGCAAGTGGATATTTGGACCACTTTGTGGCCTTCCTTCGAAACGGGTATATCTTCACATCAAACCTAGACAGAAGCATTCTCAGAATGTTTCCTGTGATGACTGCATTCAACACACAGAGGTGAACAATCCTGTTGATGGAGCAGTTTTGCAACTCTCTTTCTTTGGATTCTGCATGTGGATATGTGGACCTCTGTGAAGATTTCGTTGGAAACGGGTTTATCTTCACAGAAAAACTAAACAGAAGCATTCTCAGAAACTGCTTTGTGATGTTTGTGTTCCACTTCAAGAATTGAACTTTCTTCTTGACAGAGCAGCTCTGAAACCCTCTTTTTCTAGAATCTGCAAGTGGACATTTGGAGGGCTTTGAGGCCTGTGGTGGAAAAGGAAAATCTTCACATAAAAACTAGATGGAAGCATTCTCAGAAACTACTTTGTGATGATTGCATTCGACTCACAGAGTTGAACATTCCTATAGATAGAGCAGGTTGTAAACAATCTTTTTGTAGAATCTGCGATTGGAGATTTGGACTGCTTTGAGGCCTACTGTAGTAAAGGAAATAACTTCATCTAAAAACCAAACGGAAGCATTCACAGAGAATTCTTAGTGATCATTGCATTGAACTAACAGAGCTGAACATTACTTTAGATGGCGCAGTTTCCAAACACACTTTCTGTAGAATCTGAAAGTGGATATTTGGACCTCTCTGAGGATTTCGTTGGAAACGGGATAAACTTCCCAGAACTACAGGGAAGCATGCTGAGAAACTTCTTTGTGATGTTTGCATTCAACTCACAGAGTTGAACCTTGCTTTCATAGTTCAGCTTTCAAACACTCTTTTTGTAGAATCTGCAAGTGGATATTTGGACCACTTTGTGGCCTTCCTTCGAAACGGGTATATCTTCACTTCAAACCTAGACAGAAGCATTCTGAGAATGTTTCCTGTGATGACTGCATTCAACTCACAGAGGTGAACAATCCTGCTGATGGAGCAGTTTTGAAACTCTCTTTCTTTGGATTCTGCAAGTGGATATGTGGACCTGCTGTGAAGATTTCGTTGGAAACGGGTTCATCCTCACGGAAAAACTAAACAGGATCATTCTCAGAAACTGCTTTGTGATGTTTGTGTTCCACTTCAAGAATTGAACTTTCCTCTTGACAGAGCAGCTCTGAAACCCTCTTTTTCTAGAATCTGCAAGTGGACATTTGGAGGGCTTTGAGGCCTGTGGTGGAAAAGGAAAATCTTCACATAAAAACTAGGTGGAAGCATTCTCAGAAACTACTTTGTGATGATTGCATTCGACTCACAGAGTTGAACATTCCTATAGATAGAGCAGGTTGTAAACAATCTTTTTGTAGAATCTGCGATTGAAGATTTGGACTGCTTTGAGGCCTACTGTAGTAAAGGAAATAACTTCATCTAAAAACCAAACGGAAGCATTCACAGACAATTCTTAGTGATCATTGGATTGAACTAACAGAGCTGAACATTCCTTTAGATGGAGCAGTTTCCAAACACACTTTCTGTAGAATCTGCAAGTGGATATTTGGACTTGCTCTGAGGATTTCGTTGGAAACGGGATAAACTTCCCAGAACTACACGGAAGCATTCTGAGAAACTTCTTTGTGATGTTTGCATTCAACTCACAGAGTTGAACCTTGCTTTCATAGTTCAGCTTTCAAACACTCTTTTTGTAGAATCTGCAAGTGGATATTTGGACCACTTTGTGGCCTTCCTTCGAAACGGGTATATCTTCACATCAAACCTAGACAGAAGCATTCTCAGAATGTTTCCTGTGATGACTGCATTCAACTCACAGAGGTGAACAATCCTGCTGATGGAGCAGTTTTGAAACTCTCTTTCTTTGGATTCTGCAAGTGGATATGTGGACCTCTGTGAAGATTTCGTTGGAAACGGGTTCATCTTCACAGAAAAACTAAACAGGAGCATTCTCAGAAACTGCTTTGTGATGTTTGTGTTCCACTTCAGGAATTGAACTTTCCTCTTGACAGAGCAGCTCTGAAACCCTCTTATTCTAGAATCTGCAAGTGGACATTTGGAGGGCTTTGAGGCCTGTGGTGGAAAAGGAAAATCTTCACATAAAAACTAGATGGAAGCATTCTCAGAAACTACTTTGTGATGATTGCATTCGACTCACAGAGTTGAACATTCCTATAGATAGAGCAGGTTGTAAACAATCTTTTTGTAGAATCTGCGATTGGAGATTTGGACTGCTTTGAGGCCTACTGTAGTAAAGGAAATAACTTCATCTAAAAACCAAACGGAAGCATTCACAGATAATTCTTAGTGATATTGGATTGAACTAACAGAGCTGAACATTCCTTTAGATGGAGCAGTTTCCAAACACACTTTCTGTAGAATCTGCAAGTGGATATTTGGACTTCTCTGAGGATTTCGTTGGAAACGGGATAAACTTCCCAGAACTACACGGAAGCATTCTGAGAAACTTCTTTGTGATGTTTGCATTCAACTCACAGAGTTGAACCTTGCTTTCATAGTTCAGCTTTCAAACACTCTTTTTGTAGAATCTGCAAGTGGATACTTGGACCACTTTGTGGCCTTCCTTCGAAACGGGTATATCTTCACATCAAACCTAGACAGAAGCATTCTCAGAATGTTTCCTGTGATGACTGCATTCAACTCACAGAAGTGAACAATCCTGTTGATGGAGCAGTTTTGAAACTCTCTTTCTTTGGATTCTGCAAGTGGATATGTGGACCTCTGTGAAGATTTCGTTGGAAACGGGTTCATCTTCAGAGAAAAACTAAACAGAAGCATTCTCAGAAACTGCTTTGTGATGTTTGTGTTCCACTTCAAGAATTGAACTTTCCTCTTGACAGAGCAGCTCTGAAACCCTCTTTTTCTAGAATCTGCAAGTGGACATTTGGAGGGCTTTGAGGCCTGTGGTGCAAAAGGAAAATCTTCACATAAAAACTAGATGGAAGCATTCTCAGAAACTACTTTGTGATGATTGCATTCGACTCACAGAGTTGAACATTACTATAGATAGAGCAGGTTGTAAACAATGTTTTTGTAGAATCTGCGATTGGAGATTTGGACTGCTTTGAGGCCTACTGTAGTAAAGGAAATAACTTCATCTAAAAACCAAACGGAAGCATTCACAGACAATTCTTAGTGATCATTGGATTGATCTAACAGAGCTGAACATTCCTTTAGATGGAGCAGTTTCCAAACACACTTTCTGCAGAATCTGCAAGTGGATATTTGGACTTCTCTGAGGATTTCGTTGGAAACGGGATAAACTTCCCAGAACTACACGGAAGCATTGTGAGAATCATCTTTCTGATGTTTGCATTCAACTCACAGAGTTGAACCTTGCTTTCATAGTTCAGCTTTCAAACACTCTTTTTGTAGAATCTGCAAGTGGATATTTGGACCACTTTGTGGCCTTCCTTCGAAACGGGTATATCTTCACATCAAACCTAGACAGAAGCATTCTCAGAATGTTTCCTGTGATGACTGCATTCAACTCACAGAGGTGAACAATCCTGCTGATGGAGCAGTTTTGAAACTCTCTTTCTTTGGATTCTGCAAGTGGATATGTGGACCTCTGTGAAGATTTCGTTAGAAACGGGTTCATCTTCACAGAAAAACTAAACAGGAGCATTCTCAGAAACTGCTTTGTGATGTTTGTGTTCCACTTCAAGAATTGAACTTTCCTCTTGACAGAGCAGCTGTGAAACCCTGTTTTCCTAGAATCTGCAAGTGGACATTTGGAGGGCTTTGAGGCCTGTGGTGGAAAAGGAAAATCTTCACATAAAAACTAGATGGAAGCATTCTCAGAAACTACTTTGTGATGATTGCATTCGACTCACAGAGTTGAACATTCCTATAGATAGAGCAGGTTGTAAACAATCTTTTTGTAGAATCTGCGATTCGAGATTTGGAATGCTTTGAGGCCTACTGCAGTAAAGGAAATAACTTCATCTAAAAACCAAACGGAAGCATTCACAGACAATTCTTAGTGATCATTGCATTGAACTAACAGAGCTGAACATTCCTTTAGATGGCGCAGTTTCCAAACACACTTTCTGTAGAATCTGCAAGTCGATATTTGGACCTCTCTGAGGATTTCGTTGGAAACGGGATAAACTTCCCAGAACTACACGGAAGCATTCTGAGAAACTTCTTTGTGATGTTTGCATTCAACTCACAGAGTTGAACCTTGCTTTCATAGTTCAGCTTTCAAACACTCTTTTTGTAGAATCTGCAAGTGGATATTTGGACCACTTTCTGGCCTTCCTTCGAAACGGGTATATCTTCACATCAAACCTAGACAGAAGCATTCTCAGAATGTTTCCTGTGATGACTGCATTCAACTCACAGAGGTGAACAATCCTGTTGATGGAGCAGTTTTGAAACTCTCTTTCTTTGGATTCTGCAAGTGGATATGTGGACCTCTGTGAAGATTTCGTTGGAAACGGGTTCATCTTCACAGAAAAACTAAACAGAAGCATTCTCAGAAACTGCTCTGTGATGTTTGTGTTCCACTTCAAGAATTGAACTTTCCTCTTGACAGAGCAGCTCTGAAACCCTCTTTTTCTAGAATCTGCAAGTGGACATTTGGAGGGCTTTGAGGCCTGTGGTGGAAAAGGAAAATCTTCACATAAAAACTAGATGGAAGCATTCTCAGAAACTACTTTGTGATGATTGCATTCGACTCACAGGGTTGAACATTCCTATAGATAGAGCAGGTTGTAAACAATCTTTTTGTAGAATCTGCGATTGGAGATTTGGACTGCTTTGAGGCCTACTGTAGTAAAGGAAATAATTTCATCTAAAAACCAAACGGAGGCATTCACAGACAATTCTTAGTGATCATTGGATTGAACTAACAGAGCTGAACATTCCCTTAGATGGCGCAGTTTCCAAACACACTTTCTGTAGAATCTGCAAGTGGATATTTGGACCTCTCTGAGGATTTCGTTGGAAACGGGATAAACTTCCCAGAACTACACGGAAAGCTTTGTGAGAAACTTCTTTGTGATGTTTGCATTCAACTCACAGAGTTGAACCTTGCTTTCATAGTTCAGCTTTCAAACACTCTTTTTGTAGAATCTGCAAGTGGATATTTGGACCACTTTGTGGCCTTCCTTTGAAAAGGGTATATCTTCACATCAAACCTAGACAGAAGCATTCTCAGAATGTTTCCTGTGATGACTGCATTCAACTCACAGAGGTGAACAATCCTGCTGATGGAGCAGTTTTGAAACTCTCTTTCTTTGGATTCTGCAAGTGGATATGTGAACCTCTTTGAAGATTTCGTTGGAAACGGGTTCATCTTCACAGAAAAACTAAACAGGAGCATTCTCAGAAACTGCTTTGTGATGTTTGTGTTCCACTTCAAGAATTGAGCTTTCCTCTTGACAGAGCAGCTCTGAAACCCTCTTTTTCTAGAATCTGCAAGTGGACCTTTGGAGGGCTTTGAGGCCTGTGGTGGAAAAGGAAAATCTTCACATAAAAACTAGATGGAAGCATTCTCAGAAACTACTTTTTGATGATTGCATTCGACTCACAGAGTTGAACATTCCTATAGATAGAGCAGGTTGTAAACAATCTTTTTGTAGAATCTGCGATTGGAGATTTGGACTGCTTTGAGGCCTACTGTAGTAAAGGAAATAACTTCATCTAAAAACCAAACGGAAGCATTCACAGACAATCCTTAGTGATCATTGCATTGAACTAACAGAGCTGAACATTCCTTTAGATGGCGCAGTTTCCAAACACACTTTCTGTAGAATCTGCAAGTGGATATTTGGACCTCTCTGAGGATTTCGTTGGAAACGGGATAAACTTCCCAGAACTACACGGAAGCATTGTGAGAAACTTCTTTGTGATGTTTGCATTCAACTCACAGAGTTGAACCTTGCTTTCATAGTTCAGCTTTCAAACACTCTTTTTATAGAATCTGCAAGTGGATATTTGGACCACTTTGTGGCCTTCCTTCGAAACGGGTATATCTTCACATCAAACCTAGACAGAAGCATTCTCAGAATGTTTCCTGTGATGACTGCATTCAACTCACAGAGGTGAACAATCCTGCTGATGGAGCAGTTTTGTAACTCTCTTTCTTTGGATTCTGCAAGTGGATATGTGGACCTCTGTGAAGATTTCGTTGGAAACGGGTTCATCTTCACAGAAAAACTAAACAGGAGCATTCTCAGAAACTGCTTTGTGATGTTTGTGTTCCACTTCAAGAATTGAACTTTCCTCTTGACAGAGCAGCTCTGAAACCCTCTTTTTCTAGAATCTGCAAGTGGACATTTGGAGGGCTTTGAGGCCTGTGGTGGTAAAGGAAAATCTTCACATAAAAACTTTATGGAAGCATTCTCAGAAACTTCTTTGTGATGATTGCATTCGACTCACAGAGTTGAACATTCCTATAGATAGAGCAGGTTGTAAACAATCTTTTTGTAGAATCTGCGATTGGAGATTTGGACTGCTTTGAGGCCTACTGTAGTAAAGGAAATTACTTCATCTAAAAACCAAACGGAAGCATTCACAGACAATTCTTAGTGATCATTGGATTGAACTAACAGAGCTGAACATTCCTTTAGATGGAGCAGATTCCAAACACACTTTCTGTAGAATCTGCAAGTGGATATTTGGACCTCTCTGAGGATTTCGTTGGAAAAGGGATAAACTTCCCAGAACTACACGGAAGCATTCTGAGAAACTTCTTTGTGATGTTTGCATTCAACTCACAGAGTTGAACCTTGCTTTCATAGTTCAGCTTTCAAACACTCTTTTTGTAGAATCTGCAAGTGGATATTTGGACCACTTTCTGGCCTTCCTTCGAAACGGGTATATCTTCACATCAAACCTAGACAGAAGCATTCTCAGAATGTTTCCTGTGATGACTGCATTCAACTCACGGAGGTGAACAATCCTGCTGATGGAGCAGTTTTGAAACTCTCTTTCTTTGGATTCTGCAAGTGGATATGTGGACCTCTGTGAAGATTTCGTTGGAAACGGGTTCATCTTCACAGAAAAACTAAACAGAAGCATTCTCAGAAGCTGCTTTGTGATGTTTTTGTTCCACTTCAGGAATTGAACTTTCCTCTTGACAGAGCAGCTCTGAAACCCTCTTTTTCTAGAAACTGCAAGTGGACATTTGGAGGGCTTTGAGGCCTGTGGTGGAAAAGGAAAATCTTCACATAAGAACTAGATGGAAGCATTCTCAGAAACTACTTTGTGATGATTGCATTCGACTCACAGAGTTGAACATTCCTATAGATAGAGCAGGTTGTAAACAATCTTTTTGTAGAATCTGCGATTGGAGATTTGGACTGCTTTGAGGCCTACTGTAGTAAAGGAAATAACTTCATCTAAAAACCAAACGGAAGCATTCACAGACAATTCTTAGTGATCATTGCATTGAACTAACAGAGCTGAACATTCCTTTAGATGGAGCAGTTTCCAAACCCACTTTCTGTAGAATCTGCAAGTGGATATTTGGACTTCTGTGAGGATTTCGTTGGAAACGGGATAAACTTCCCAGAACTACACGGAAGCATTCTGAGAAACTTCTTTGTGATGTTTGCATTCAACTCACAGAGTTGAACCTTGCTTTCATAGTTCAGCTTTCAAACACTCTTTTTGTAGAATCTGCAAGTGGATATTTGGACCACTTTGTGGCCTTCCTTCGAAACGGGTATATCTTCACATCAAACCTAGACAGAAGCATTCTCAGAATGTTTTCCTGTGATGACTGCATTCAACTCACAGAGGTGAACAATCCTGCTGATGGAGCAGTTTTGAAACTCTCTTTCTTTGGATTCTGCAAGTGGATATGTGGACCTCTGTGAAGATTTCGTTGGAAACGGGTTCATCTTCACAGAAAAACTAAACAGGAGCATTCTCAGAAACTGCTTTGTGATGTTTGTGTTCCACTTCAAGAATTGAACTTTCCTCTTGACAGAGCAGCTCTGAAACCCTCTTTTTCTAGAATCTGCAAGTGGACATTTGGAGGGCATTGAGGCCTGTGGTGGAAAAGGAAAATCTTCACATAAAAAGTAGATGGAAGCATTCTCAGAAACTACTTTGTGATGATTGCATTCGACTCACAGAGTTGAACATTCCTATACATAGAGCAGGTTGTAAACAATCTTTTTGTAGAATCTGCGATTGGAGATTTGGACTGCTTTGAGGCCTACTGTAGTAAAGGAAATAACTTCATCTAAAAACCAAACGGAAGCATTCACAGACAATTCTTAGTGATCATTGGATTGAACTAACAGCAGCTGAACATTCCTTTAGATGGCGCAGTTTCCAAACACACTTTCTGTAGAATCTGCAAGTGGATATTTGGACCTCTCTGAGGATTTCGTTGGAAACGGGATAAACTTCCCAGAACTACACGGAAGCATTGTGAGAAACTTCTTTGTGATGTTTGCATTCAACTCACAGAGTTGAACCTTGCTTTCATAGTTCAGCTTTCAAACACTCTTTTTGTAGAATCTGCAAGTGGATATTTGGACCACTTTGTGGCCTTCCTTCGAAACGGGTATATCTTCACATCAAACCTAGACAGAAGAATTCTCAGAATGTTTCCTGTGATGACTGCATTCAACTCACAGAGGTGAACAATCCTGTTGATGGAGCAGTTTTGAAACTCTCTTTCTTTGGATTCTGCAAGTGGATATGTGGACCTCTGTGAAGATTTCGTTGGAAACGGGTTCATCTTCACAGAAAAACTAAACAGCAGCATTCTCAGAAACTGCTTTGTGATGTTTGTGTTCCACTTCAAGAATTGAACTTTCCTCTTGACAGAGCAGCTCTGAAACCCTCTTTTTCTAGAATCTGCAAGTGGACATTTGGAGGGCTTTGAGGCCTGTGGTGGAAAAGGAAAATCTTCACATAAAAACTAGATGGAAGCATTCTCAGAAACTACTTTGTGATGATTGCATTCGACTCACAGAGTTGAACATTCCTATAGATAGAGCAGGTTGTAAACAATCTTTTTGTAGAATCTGCGATTGGAGATTTGGACTGCTTTGAGGCCTTCTGTAGTAAAGGAAATAACTTCATCTAAAAACCAAACGGAAGCATTCACAGACAATTCTTAGTGATCATTGCATTGAACTAACAGAGCTGAACATTCCTTTAGATGGAGCAGTTTCCAAACCCACTTTCTGTAGAATCTGCAAGTGGATATTTGGACTTCTCTGAGGATTTCGTTGGAAACGGGATAAACTTCCCAGAACTACACGGAAGCATTCTGAGAAACTTCTTTGTGATGTTTGCATTCAACTCACAGAGTTGAACCTTGCTTTCATAGTTCAGCTTTCAAACACTCTTTTTGTAGAATCTGCAAGTGGATATTTGGACCACTTTGTGGCCTTCCTTCGAAACGGGTATATCTTCACATCAAACCTAGACAGAAGCATTCTCAGAATGTTTCCTGTGATGACTGCATTCAACTCACAGAGGTGAACAATCCTGCTGATGGAGCAGTGTTGAAACTCTCTTTCTTTGGATTCTGCAAGTGGATATGTGGACCTCTGTGAAGATTTCGTTGGAAACGGGTTCATCTTCACAGAAAAATTAACAGAAGCATTCTCAGAAACTGCTTTGTGATGTTTGTGTTCCACTTCAGGAATTGAACTTTCCTCTTGACAGAGCAGCTCTGAAACCCTCTTATTCTAGAATCTGCAAGTGGACATTTGGAGGGCTTTGAGGCCTGTGGTGGAAAAGGAAAATCTTCACATAAAACTAGATGGAAGCATTCTCAGAAACTAGTTTGTGATGATTGCATTCGACTCACAGAGTTGAACATTCCTATAGATAGAGCAGGTTGTAAACAATCTTTTTGTAGAATCTGCGATTGGAGATTTGGACTGCTTTGAGGCCTACTGTAGTAAAGGAAATAACTTCATCTACAAACCAAACGGAAGCATTCACAGACAATTCTTAGTGATCATTGGATTGAACTAACAGAGCTGAACATTCCTTTAGATGGAGCAGTTTCCAAACCCACTTTCTGTAGAATCTGCAAGTGGATATTTGGACTTCTCTGAGGATTTCGTTGGAAACGGGATAAACTTCCCAGAACTACACGGAAGCATTGTGAGAAA